>NC_000022.11:30679260-30830776 GCF_000001405.40 Homo sapiens
TTATTCAACTCCATAGTCCCTTGTTCAGGAAACCATGGGCAAAACTGCTTTACTGTACTAAAGAGTGATTAACAAATTGTGAGTACTAACTTTCATGCCCCCCTCTTTGTAATAAATGCTTTAAGAAATCTAAATAAGCAGAATGTCTGCTTTCACTTTGTCCCATTGTTACCCTGGTTCTTCCCAGTGCTCAGCTTTCCTGCCGAGCTTCTTTTAGACGTTCGACGTTCTTGGGTGTCCTGTGACAATGTGTCCTCCGCTTTCACATGCTCTAGTGTTCCTTCACCGGGGTCTTTGTCGCCCCACGTTGGGCAGCCAGGAATGTTGGGGTGATCAGACCCAACACCAGGTTGTGGGGACGACGAAGTCTGGTGGAGTCAAAGGAATGAAAAAAAAGTTTGAGAGAGAAAGTGGGACCAGGGGTCATGGCGAGTGTGGAAGCTGCAAAGGCCCTGGAGCTCTGGAAGCCCATGCTATTTATTGATGCTCAAACAAAGAAACAGTTGGTGAGGATGTGGGAGTTGAAAGGAAACAGTGTATCAAGTGAATGAGAAACATATAGCTGCTTGAGATAATGGGAGTGCTAGAAGCAAGGAGCCAGCAATTCTAGCAGACATGCAACCCCTGCCTCAGCTTCTCTCCCAACACTCAGCTTTTCTCCCAACACTGTTTGAAGGCAGGGACCAAGGATCCTCCAAGATTCAGTTCAGGCCTCTTTTCTTCTTTGATGCCAACAGCTGGCCCCAGTAGAAAAGGCCATTCTTTCCTGTGCTTCTGAGTCCCCACACCCGTCTTCACACAGAGTGCTTAGTGCACAACATCATTTGTTTGCACACTGTCGCTCCAATCAGGTTGTAAATATCTTTTTTTTTTTTTTTTGACAGAGTCTTGCTCTGTCGCCAGGCTGGAATGCAGTGGTGCTCACTGCAACCTCCACCTCCCAGGTTCAAGCAATTCTCCTGCCTCAGCCTCCCGAACAGCTGGGACTACAGGCACGTGCCACCACACCCAGCTAACTTTTGTATTTTTAGTAGAGACAGGGTTTCACCATGTTGGCCAGGATGGTCTCAATCTCTTGACCTCGTGATCTGCCCACTTTGGCCTCCCAAACTGCTGGGATTACAGGTGTGAGCCACCGCACCCAGCCGAGATGAGGTTTTATTATGTTGGCCAGGCTGGTCTTAAACTCCTGACCTCAGGTGATCCACCCACCTTGGCTTCTTGAAGTGCTGCGATTACAGGCGTGAGCCGCTGTGCCACCTGGTCTGGTTATAAATGTCTTGATGGCAGCGATGCTGACTTACTCATCCCTGCAATCACAATGCCTAGTAAATGGGGTAGTCACTCAGTGTTTTTTTTTTTTTCTCTTTGAGTCAGGAGTCTTGCTCTGTTGCCCAGGCTGGAGTGCAGTGGTACAATCTCAGCTCACTGCAACCCCTGCCTCCCAGGTTCAAATGATTTTCGTGCCTCAGCTTCCTGAGTAGCTAGGATTACAGGCATGTGCCACCACACCTCACTAATTTTTATATTTTTAGTAGAGATGGGGTTTCGCCACGTTGGCCAGACTGGTCTCAAATTCCTGACCTCAGGTGATCCTCCCATCTTGACCTCCCAAACTGCTGGGATTACAGGTGTGAGCCACGTGCCTGGCCAGCAAAGTCATTTAATTCTTGGGGACCCCTAGCAGGAACAAGAAACAGGAACACTTTCCAGCCTAGCCCTTTGTTAAATTAGGAAGTGTTACTCTGGCTATTAGAATTCTGGGCCTGGTCCAGCAGCTGACTTTGAAAGTTTGCAGGCCTATGAGGGACAGAGCCAGGGGCAGGCCTTGGACTGGGACCTCCTGTCTCCCCCAGTAATGTCTCTCTGGGCTTCAGCTCTCCCACTTGCTCTTCAGGGACAGTGGGGCTGGTGGGTGGTTTCTGCACTTCCTTCCATTTCTCAGATCCTGAGATGTGGCAACAGAGCTTTGCACACATAATGCTTCACAAACATCTGCTGAGTGGAAAGGAACAAATCCTGCTCTGAGCAAAGCCAGAAAATCCAGGCTTATCAAAAATGATCACTCAGGGAGAGTTTTACTTGACTAATGTGTTTATCACTTTACAAAGTGACTCCCAGTGGTATTCCTTATCCAGTCTGCTCATCCAGCAGCATTTTCAAAGCTTCTGCCCCAAGCCACTGTCATTCAAATGCACCTCCCCACTGGGTCAAGTTGGGTCTCCCAGCTAATGGAAGTTCCCCTGTACAGGAGCTTGGCCAGGCACAGTGTTTCATGCCAGTAATCCCAGCACTTTGGGAGGTCCAGGTGGGAGGATCACTTGAGGCTAGTAGTTTGGGACTAGCCTGGGCAATATAGCGAGACCCTGTCTCTACAAAAAATAAAATGAAAAATCACCCTGATGTGGTGGCATGTGCCTTTACTCCCAGCTACTTGGGAAGCTGAGGTGGGAGGATCTCTTGAGCCCAGGAGGTCAAGGCTGCAGTGAGCCAAGATTGAACCACTGCACTTCAACCTGGTGAGAGCAAAACCCTATCTCAAAATAAAATAAAATAAATCTCCCTATGGTTAAAAAACACTCATCTTCCACTTTATCCAGCATGTGTTTATTTATTAATAGCTCCTCATATGTACCAGGCACTCTTGTAGGTGCTAGAAATCATCAGTGAACAAAACTGACTCAAATCCTCTGCTTCCATGGAGATTGTATTTGAATAGTCTCAGGGGTGGCAGAGTAGGAAGAAAAGCAATCAGGTGAAACCGCTGGCTGCTGGAGTCTGATGCCTCTGGCTGAATGCAGGATGCCTCCTTTGGGCTTTATGGGGAGAACCTGGTTTACGCAGTCTTTTCTCTGTGCAATTCTTTGGCCTCTGGAAATGCTGTCCACAGGACTGGAAGGCTGTGTGTGTCCCTCCCTGCTGCAGTGAGGCTTCCTTTATCTGATGTGCATGGCCTCTGAAGTCAGATGGCTCTATTTGGAATCTCAGCTCTGCCTTGCACAAGAAAGTCATTTTGCCCCTCGGAGCTTCACCTTCCTCATCTGGAAACTGGGAATAATTGTAGTACCTACTTCATAGGCTTGCTCTGAGAACCCAGTGAGCTTGACAAGAACCTAGCCCAAGACCTGTCGTCTCACGGGTGAATGGGAAGGGGGTTGTGTCGGCAACTGTAATTGTGCTGTACTTGGAGTTGACACATACAATTCAAGAGGCAGCCTGGTGCTGGGGAGTGGGCCTCGGAATAATAATCTAGAGGTGGGAGTTCGGCTTCTATGACTCCTCAGTTTGCTCTGAGACCCTGGGTAACATATATCCCCCACCTTTTTTTTTTTTTTTTTTTTGAGACGAAGTTTCGCTCTTGTTGCCCAGGCTGTACTGCAATGGCACGATCTTGGCTTACTGCAACCTCCCACTCCCAGGTTCAAGCGATTCTCCTGCCTCAGCCTCCTGGGTAGCTGGGATTACAGGCACCCACCACCACGCCTGGCTAATTTTTTGTTTTGTTTTGTTTTGTTTTTGTATTTTTAGTAGAGATGGGGTTTCACCATGTTGGCAGGCTGGTCTTGAACTCCTGACCTCAGGTGATCCACCTGCCTCGGCCTCCCAAAGTGCTGGGATTATAGGCATGTGCCACCGTGCTTGGCCCTTAAATGCCTTTTCTGAGGATTGGTGATCTACTCTCTTCCCTCATATTCAGTTAATCCTTTAGGAGAAAGAAATTGGGCTGAGACAGATCCATATCCTCCAGGGGGCCTTGGAGCACCCCAAGCCAGCATGTGCCTGTTGGGAACCTGGTGGGGAGCAATGGTTGGTCACTGGGGCTCCAACCAAGCCCTCCCCAGGTACTTCTCGGGGACTGAGTGCACTTGCTCCACAAGAATGAAATGGTCACCAGGAAGAATTTTGGTCACCAAAGAATCCTTAGCTTTGTCATATTAGAGGGCTGGGAGGGCCTGATCCCCTGGAACCTGCCTTTCCAACCTGATTTCCCATACTTCTTCCCATAAGCCAGATCCCATGATTTCTCTCATTTCTCCAAACAGGCCTCTTGATTTTCCACCTTGGAACTAACTTTCTTCCTCCCTTCCTCCCTCCCTCTCTTCCTTCCTTTCTTGCTTTTGTTCTTCCTTTCTTCCATTCTTTCTTCTCTCCTTCCTTTAACCCCATCCCTCCCTCATCCCCTCCAATCCCCTCCCCTTCCTTCCATCGCCCAGGCTGGAGTACACTGGCGTGATCATAGCTTACCACAGACTCGAACTCCTGGCCTCAAGTGACCCTCCCACCTCAGCCTCCCAAGTAGCTAGGACTATAGGCATGTGCCACCAAGCCCCACTAATTTTTTTACTTCTTGTAGAGACGAGGGTCTCGTTGTGTTGCCCAGGCTGGTCTTGAGCTCCTGGCCTTAAGAAATCCTCCTGCCTGGGCCTCCCAAAATGCTGGGAATACAGGTGTGCACTGCTATGCCTGGCCCACCTCAGAACTTTTGATTCTACTGTTCACCCTGCAAGGAATATAGACTTACCCTCATTTCTACCTGAGGAAAGTCAGCTCAGACCCTTCGGGGCCTGCCCTGACATGAGCTCTGCCTTCCTAGACTAGACTCTGTCCGTCTCCCATCAGATAGGGAGCTTCCACCAGGCAGGGGCTGGACATGTTAGGAAAAGAGAGGCTTGGATGGATAACTTTTCTTTGTAAAAATTGCATTATGCGGAACCAACCATATTCTCTGGAGCTCTCAGGTAATTTCTATGGCAGTCCCCCTGACTCCACATTGCTTTGGAGATTCTGTATACTTTACTAAGGAATCACTGACTCCTCTGAAAGGTTTTCAAATAAAACCTGTCACTATCACTCTAAGCAGAGGTCACTAATTACTAGTCCTCCTGGGGCCAATAGTGGGGCGTTGATTTGATCAAACACTATGCTTCTCATAGTGATGAATTTAAGTACTTTGGATGTAGTATGCAAGCTGCAGTTAGCTGAAGCTCCCACCACTGCCATCTTCCTAAATCCAAGTGCATTTAATCTCCCTGGTACCTGAAGGCATGTGAGTTTGTGATCACTCCAAAGTGTTAGAACAGGGTCAGATGTGGTGGCTCACGCCTATAATCCCAGCACTTTGAGAGGCCGAGGCAGGCAGATCACGAGGTCAGGAGATCGAGACCATCCTGGCTAACGTGGTGAAACCCCGTCTCTACTAAAAATACAAAAAATTAGCCGGGCGTAGTGGCACGTACCTGTACTCCCAGCTACTCAGGAGGCTGAGGCAGGAGAATCTCTTGAACCTGGGAGGTGGCGGTTGCAGTGAGCCCAGATCACGCCACTGCACTCCAGCCTGGGTGACAGAGTGAGACTTTGTCTTAAATAAATAAATAAATAAATAAAGTTAAATTAGGCTGGGTGCGGTGGCTCATGCCTGTAATCCTAGCACTTTTGGAGGCCGAGGCAGGCACTTCACGAAGTCAAGAGATCAAGACCATCCTGGCCAACATGGTGAAACCCCATCTCTACTAAAAATACAAAAAAATTAGCTGGGTATGGTGGCGGGCACCTGTAGTCCCAGCTACTCAGAAGGCTGAGGCAGGAGGATTGCCTGAACCTGGCAGGCAGAGGTTTCAGTGAGCTGAGATCACGCCACTGCACTCCAGCCTGGTGACAGAGCAAGACTCCGTCTCAAAAAAAAAAAAAAAAAAAAAAAAAAAATTTAAAGGATTTTTTCCAGCCTATAGCCAGAAAGTGACAGACCTGGGATTTGAAACTTCCAGACTTGTGCCTTTAGCTGCATGCTGCCCTCACTCCCACTTGGGTTCAGTTCTGAAGCAGGGTATGGCTCAAGCCACTCCAGACCTTTCCTGAATAAAATGAGACACACATCAGCATCTACTTTTGTATCTGTGGCCACAAGCTCATAAGAGACTCTGTCTGGATTTTGGAATGAAGACCAGATGGCAGCTGGGAGACCTGGGTTTTTATCCAGTCAGTGATGTGACCTTGGACTCGGGCAGAGGGGGACAGTGATATTTGCTATCTCACAAGGCTAACCTCAGGTGGAAGTGATGGCTTGTAAGCAGTTCTGCAAAACAAGGATGACCAGCTACTCCAGAGCCTTCCAGCCCAAGGGGACTTTGCTCCTTGCCATCTTTTAGCGTTTCCTTCTCCTGAGCCTCTCAGGGACAGTCTGGCAGGGTTTGTTTTGGGTGGGCAGGCACCTTGGGGTTGGAGGCTCAGGTTTATATTCTTTTACTGCACAGGTGAGCAGGTTTTCGGACTAGAGAACCTTCTGTTTGAATCTTGGCTCCCCATTTGCGCGTGCGCGTGTGTGTGTGTGTGTGTCTGGGCAGGCGTCTTTAGCTTTGTGAGCCTTGATTTCTTCTTGCATAAACATAGGGATTATGAAACCAATCTTACAGGGTTGTTTTAAGGGTGGGAAGTGATGTATACAAAAGGCCTAACATTTGTAAAACAGAAGCATTTTATAGTAATTTTCTTTTTTTCTTTTCTTTCCTTTTCTTTTCTTTTTTTTTTTTTTTTTGAGATGGAGTTTCGCTCTTGTTGCCCAGGCTGGAATGCAGTGGCACGATCTTGGCTCACTACAACCTCCACCTCCGGGGTTCAAGTGATTCTCTCTCCTTAGCCTCCTGAGTAGCTGGGATTACAGGCGCGCACCACCACATGCAGCTAATTTTTTGTATTTTTACTAGAGATGGGGTTTCATCATGTTGGCCAGGCTGGTCTCAAACTCCTGATCTCAGGTGATCTACCTGCCTCAGCCTCTCAAAGTGCAGGGATTACAGGTGTGAGCCACCTCGCCCGGCCACTAATTTTCTGTTTTTCCTTGTTGTTTGTTTGTTTTTGAGACCGAGTCTTGCTCTGTCACCCAGGCTGGAGTGCAGTGGTGGGACCTCAGCTCACTGCAACCCCTACCTCCCGCATTCAAGTGATCCTCTCACCTCAGTCTCCCAAGTAGCTGGGACTACAGGTGTGCGCCACCATACCTGGCTAAGTTTTGTATTTTTAGTAGAGACAGGGTTTCACCATGTTGGCCAGGCTGTTTACCATGTTGGCCTGGCCCGGAAACTTCATCTTTAAACAAAACAATGTATCATAAAACCAATTTTGCCATAGGCTAATTGATATAAACAAGAGCTAAGTTCTTATTGCTTATTTCTTGCCACAAAACAGCACCAAACTTCTAAATAAAGATCCAAAACATTTCTAATATTAAATATTGAAATAAATGTGAACTATATATATGCTTAAGAAACATGAATAAAAAACAAGTAAGGTAATTATTTACCCGCTTATTCCAGTTGAGGTTTGTGAGTGGCCGGAGCCTATCGCAGCAGCTCAGGGCACAAGGCAGAAGCCAACCCTGGACAAGATGCCATTCCATGGCAGAGCACACATATTCACATTCACTCAGACCGGGACCATTTAGACACACCAATGAACCTAATACACATGTCTTTGGGATGTGGGAAGAAACCAGATTACCTGGAGAAAACCCACACAGACCTGGGGAGAACATGCAAACTCCACACAGATATTGGCTCCCTGCTGGGAATTGATTTTCTCATCAACATTATTATTAATATTACTATTATTTTTTGAGACAGAGTCTCACTCTATCACCAAGGCTGGAGTGCAGGGGTGTGGTCTCAGCTCACTGCAACCTCTGCCTTCCAGGTTAAAGCGATTCTCTTGTCTCAGCCTCCCAAGTAGCTGTGATTACCAGTACATGCCACCACGCCTGGCTAAGTTTTGTATTTTTAGTAGAGAGTGGATTTCACCATGTTGGCCAGGCTGTTCTTGAACTCGTGACCTTAGGTGATCTGCCCACCTTGGCCTCCCAAAGTGCTTGGGATTACAGACGTGAGCCACCACGCCCGGGTTCTCATCAACACTATAACAAAAGGATGTTAAACAAAATGATGTGATTTGAGGACATGTTGCACTTACACAAACCTACATGGGATAGACTACTACACTCCTAAGGTATATGATGTAACCTATTGCTCCTAGGCTACAAACCTGTACGGAATGTTACTGTAATGAATACTGTAGGCAAATGTAATACAAAGGTAGGCATTTGTGTATCTAAACATATCTATAGATGGAAAAGGTGCAGTAAAAATACAGTATTATAATCTTATGAGACCACTGTCGAATATTTGGTCTGTGGTTGACTGAAATGTCATGTGTATGTGACGGTACATAGACTGGGAGACTATTATGGTATACTCTAGACTGACTGACAGAGATTGAGAAATTTATTTCTTGCAGTTCTGGAGGTCAGAAGTCCAAGATCAAGGGCCTAGCCTGTTTAGTTTCTGGCGAGGTCTCTATTCCTGGCTTGCAGATGGCTGCCTTCTTGCTGTGTCCTCACTTGGGGATGAAGAGAGAAAGCAAGCTCTCTGGTGTTTCTTCTTTTCTTTCTTTCTTTTTTTTTCTTTTTGAGATGGAGTTTCGCTCTGTCTCCCAGGCTGGAGTGCAGTGGCGTGATCTCAGATCACTGCAACCTCCACCTCCCAGGTTCAAACAATTCTCCTGCCTCAGCCGCCTGAGTATCTGGGACTACAGGCGAATGCCACCAGGCCCGGATAATTTTTGTATTTTTGGTAGAGACGGGGTTTCGTCTCGTTGGCCAGGCTGGTCTCAAACTCCTGATCTCAGGTGATCCACCCACCTCAGCCTCCCAAAGTGCTGAGATTACAGGCGTGAGCCACCATGCCAGGCCTTTTTTTTTTTTGACATGGAGTCTCACTCTGTGACTCAGGCTGGAGTGCAGTGGAGCGATCTTGGCTCACTGCAAGCTCCGCCTCCCAGGTTCATGCCATTCTTCTGCCTCAGCCTCCCGAGTAGCTGGGACTACAGGCGCCTGCCACCATGCCTGGCTAGTTTTTTGTATTTTTAGTAGAGACAGGGTTTCACCGTGTTAGCCAGGATGGTCTTGATCTCCTGACCTCATGATCCGCCCGCCTTGGCCTCCCAAAGTCTTGGGATTACAGGCGTGAGCCACCGCGCCCAGCCTTTTTTTTTTTTTTTTTTTTTTTTGAGAAGGAGTCTCTCTCTGTTGCCCAGGCTGGAGTGCAATGGCATGATAGCTCACTGCAACTTCCGCCTCCCAAGTTCAAGCGATTCTCCTGCCTCAGCCTCCCGAGTAGCTGGCATTACAGGCATGCACCACCACGCCAGGTTAATTTTTGTATTTTAGTAGAGATGGGGTTTCACCATGTCGGCCAGGCTGATCTCAAAGTCCTGACCTCAAGTGATCTGCTTGCCTCAGCCTCCCAAAGTGCTGGGATTACAGGTGTGAGCCACCGCGCCTGACCTCTTTTTATTTTAACACTGAAATAACAGGAAACAATGGTGTTTCTTTTTATAAGGAATCCTATTGGATTAGGGCCCTACTCCATAACCTCATTTAACCTTAATTAACTTCCTTATTCCAAATACAGTCACACTGGGGGTTAGGGCTTCAACATACGGATTTTCGGGGGACAACATTTAGTCCACAGATCAGTGTTTCCTAAAACATGATCTGTGTTCCATATTCCCCAATTGTCCCCAAGATGTATTATTTATTATTATTATTTTTGAGATGGAGTTTCACTTTTGTTGCCTAGGCTGGAGTGCAATGGCACGATCTCGGCTGACCGCAACCTCCACCTCCCGGGTTCAAGCGATTCTCCTGCTTTGGCCTCCCCAGTAGCTGGAATTACAGGCATGCGCCACTATGCCCGGCTAATTTTTTATATTTTTAGTAGAGATGGGATTTCTCCATGTTGGTCAGGCTGGTCTCGAACTCCCAACCTCAGGTGATTCCACCCGCCTTGGCCTCCCAAAGTGCTGGGGTTACAGGTGTGAGCCAATGTGCCCGGACTTTTTTTTTTTTTTTTTTTTTGAGATGAAGTTTCACTCTTATTGCCCAGGCTGGAGTGCAGTGGTGCGATCTTAGCTCACTGCAACGTCCACCTCCTGGGTTCAAGTGATTCTCCTGCCTCAGCCTCCCTAGTGGCTGGGATTACAGGCGTCTGCCACCACGCTTGGCTAATTTTTGTATTTTTAGTGGAGACAAGGTTTTGCCATGTTGACCAGGCTGGTCTCGAACTCCTGACCTCAGGTGATCCACCTACCTCAGCCTCCCAAAGTGCTGGGATTACAGGCGTGAGCCACCGTGCCCAGCAGTATTTTTTTAATGGTTTGTTTGAATCAGGATTAAAATAAAGTTCACACACACTGTATCTGGTTGATACATCTTTCGAAACTTTATAACATTTTCCAATTCACCTCCTTTTCCTAGGCCATGCATTTATTGAATAAAACTTGTCGTTAGGATGTAGATTTTTCTATTTTTGGATTTGACTGACTGACTCCTTCTGCCATTTAGCATGTTCCTCTGTCTCCTGCATTTTAAAAGTACTGTTCAAACTAAAAACTAAACAGATTTAGTTTTTTTGAATGGAGGGAGGTGGTATAAAAATAATCATAGGTGGTGCTGTTTTTCCTGTTTGGTCACATGGGGGGAGGCACATTATATCCTGTTGCACTTTTTGTGATGCTAAGATCAACAGGTAGAATCAGCTGATGTCAGCCTGATCCTTTCAGACGTTCCCCATCAACCCCATCACTTAGTTAACTATTGGTGATTATTTGATCCATTACAGTATTTCATTAGGAGTTGGCAAATATAATTTTTTTCTAATTCTATAATTCCTTCTGCATTTATTATTTTTATTATTATTTTTTGAGACAGGGCCTTGATCTGTCACCCAGGCTGGAGTGCAATGGCATGATCTTGGCTCACTGCAACCTCCACCTTCCAGGCTCATGTGATCCTTCCACTTCAGCCTCCTGAGTAGCTGGGACTACAGGCACACACCACCATGCCCAGCTAATTTTTGTATTTTTTGTAAAGACGGGGTTTCACTATGTTGCTCAGGCTGGTCTCAAAACTCCTGGACTCAAGCAATTCACCTGCCTTCACCTCCCAAAGTGGTGGGATTACAGGCATGAGCCACTGCGCCCGGCCCCCTTCTGCATTTATTCGCTAATTATTCATTTATTTTTTCCTTCATAGAGATGGGTTATCACTATGTTGCCCAGGCTGGTTTCAAACTCCTGGGCCCAAGGGATCCAGTTGCCTTGGCCTCCCAGTGTTGAGATTACAGGTGTGAGCCACTGCACCTGGTCTAGCTAATTCTTCTATACACATTTTTCCTTCGTGAAGTCTTTGTTACTATGAGATAGTTTGTACAACAAGGATAGGATACAGACTTAATTCTTTCCCTTTATCAATTTTCAGAATAATGAATTGGTACTGTGGTAAACTCCACATATGACCAATAAGGCGGGTTTTTGTTTTAGTGGGTTTTTGTGTGTGTGTGTAACTTTAGGAACGTATGCATTTAATTTATGGATTTTTATTTAGTTGATGTTTCATCCCGTTGCAATCATTATTCTTTTTGCTCATATTCTTCCACCTTTGGCCACTGTGAGCCCCTTTAAGTTGGCCCGAGTGCTTTTGTCACAACAGTGGTCTTGAATAGCCTTTTCACTTTCTGGCATGACAAAATGTCCAGGCAGGCTCATCTTGCATATTTCCTGCCCCAGACTTGTAGTTGGTAAAAAATCTCCTTTGGGCCGGGCGCAGTGGCTCAAGCCTATAATCCTAGCACTTTAGGAGGTCGAGGTGGGCGGATCACCTGAGGTCAGGAGTTCAAAACCAGCCTGGCCAACATGGTGAAACCCTGTCTCTACTAAAAATACAAAAAATTAGCCAGGTGCAGTGGCGCACACCTGTAATCCCAGCTACTCGGGAGGCTGAGGCAGGATAATTGCTTGAACCTGGGAGGCAGAGGTTGCAGTGAGCCGAGATCGTGCCACTGCACTCCAGTCTGGGCGACAGAGCAAATAAATAAATATATAAATTAAAAAAACTCCTTTGTCCCCAGGAATCCTTCTTTCTGTAGGCTAAAGAGCATTCCTCACAGTGTGGTGTCCACCCAGCTCTGTTCCATCTCCTGTCTTACTCTTCCAGATATGATGAACTATTTATCACTTCCAGACAAGCTGTTCTTTCCCAACATAGGACTTAGACTATGCTGGTTCCTTCACCTTGAATGCCCTTTCACTCCTTATCCCTTGGACTCAGTGCAAAAGTTGTCCCTTCTCTGACTCCTTCTTCACTCACTCTGGCAGAACTAATGAAGATGGCAGGCCCTGTCATCTTTGAGAGCTTGGCAATTTATTGCAGCAGTCAAAACATATCCTTAACTATTTGTTTACTAGACAGCTTCCTTCCTTAAGGGTTGCAAACGCATCTGATGCATACATAGCAGGCACTGAGCTTTGCCCATTGTGGTTATTTCCCAAGCTTGTCAACCTTGGTCTCATCTCCTTCTGCTCTGGCCTCTGTTTAGTTCATTTCACCAAACATTTCACAGAGAACCCTCTAGTAAATAACTAGAGAATATTTACTAAGCACTTACTATGTCAAATATGGTTTACATACATTATTTCATTACAACCTGAGAGGTAGTTGTTATTATCCTCATTTTACAGATGAGCAAGTGGAAGCTCAGCGGGGTCACTGAAGGACCCACAGCAAGGGAGTGGCCGAACTGGGATTTCTTTCGTGGGTCTGACTCCCAAAGCCGTAGATGTTCCCTCCACATCACTGTCCACCAAAATGTGCTCCATGATCCATCCACATGCAAAACCTCTGGGAAATCATTAAAATGCATGTTCTCAGCTGGGCGTGGTCCCTCATGCCTGTAATCCTCATACTTTGGGAGGCCGAGGTGGGTGGATCACCTGAGGTCAGGAGTTCGAGACCAGCCTGGCCAACATGGTGAAACCCCGTTTCTACTAAAAATACAAAAATTATCTGGGCCTGGTGGCGCATGCCTGTAATCCCAGCTGCTCGGGAGGCTGAGGCACAAGAATCGCTTGAACCCAGGAGGCAGAGGTTGCAGTGAGCCGAGATTGTGCCACTGCATGCCAGCCTGGGCAACAGAGCAAGACTCCATCTCAAAGTAAATGAATAAATAATAAAATGCATGTTCCTGGCTGGACGAGGTGGCTCACACCTGTAATCCCAACACCTTGGGAGGCCAAGACAGGAGGATTCCCTGAGCCAGGATTTCAAGACCAGTCTGGGCAACATAGGGAGACTCCATCTCTACAAAAAAAAATTTTTTTAATTAGCTGGGTGTGGTGGCACATGCCTGTAGTCCCATCTAATCTGGAGGCCGAGGTGGGAGGACCACTTGACCCCTGAAGGCCAAGGCTGCAGTGAGCCATGATTGCATCACTGCACTCCAGACTAGGTGACAGAGTAAGACACTGTCTCAAGAAAAGAAAAAGAAAAAAAAAAAAAAAGCATGTTCTTGGATTCCACCTCTGACTTACTGGGGATGGAGAAGTGAATTTCTTTTTCTTTTTTTTACTAAGATGGAGTCTCTCACTGTCGCCCGTGCTGGAGTGCAATGTTGCGATCTCGGCTCACTGCAACCTCTGCCTCCTGGGTTCACGCAATTCTCTTGCCTTGGCCTCCCGAGTAGCTGGGATTACAGGCACACACCACCACACCCGGCTAATTTTTTTAATTTTTAGTAGAGACAGGGTTTCATTATGTTGGCCAGACTGGTCTCCTGACCTCGTGATCTGCCTGCCTCGGCCTCCCAAGGTGCTGGGATTACAGGCATGAGCCACCGTGCCCAGCTCTGGAAAAGTGTGTTTCTAATAAACCTCCCTGGGGTGATTTTAACAATTATCATCATTATTTTGAATCGGTGAAACATACACACAGTGAAACATACACAGTAAAACATACAAAAGGTTCAAAGTGTGAGTGAAAAGCAAGCATTCCACCTCATTTCTCAGTTGTCCAGTTCTGTCCCCCACTACACCCCAGAGGCAATCACTTTTCCTTGGGGGGACTCACCATGCTGAAGTTTGAGGGTCACCGTCATACATATGAGATAGACCAAGATGGGGGGCTCTCTGCACTCCAGAGCTCACAGCAAAATTGCAGGTAAGACCACCATTCAAAGACAAGTGCCTGAGGAAGGGGTCTCAAAGTCACCAGCAAAGATGCCAGCGGCTCCTGCTCAGTGCATGTCTGCACCTCCTATTTCTAGGACCTTCCAATCTGCTTCCTTCTGGGGACCACTTCACGTAGGAAGCAGTCCCTACACAGGTTATCTTGTCACAAGCAAAGATCAGGAATGGATAGGTGGGTAAGGGGAGAGTAAGACGTGATGGTGAGCTAAGAGGAGTCTGCAGAGAGGTCTAAGCTTGAAAAGTCTGGACAGAAACCCAATGTTCAGTCTTTCCATTTGTATTTCTGATTATTTGTAGTAACCATCAACTTTCGTCATTTGGATAGATTCTTAAGAAAAAAAAAAAATCACTGATGGCTGGGCACAGTGGCTCACGCCTGTAATCCTAGCACTTTGGGAGGCCGAGGCGGGAGGATCCTGGCCTGAGGTCAGGAGTTCAAGACCAGCCTGACCAACATGGTGAAACCCCGTTTCTACTAAAAATACAAAATTTAGCTGGGCATGGTGCGGGCCGTGGAATTCCAGCTACTAGGGAGGCCAAGGCAGGAGAATCGCTTGAACCTGGGAAGCGGAGGCTGCAGTGAACCAAGATCACGCCACTGCATTCCAGCCTGGGCTACCGAGTGAGACTCAGTCTCAAAAAGGAAAAAAAAAAAAAGCGGAAAAAAAAATTCGCTGATGTTTTAACCATTCTGGGGTCACAGCCTCCTTTGTTATGGACCTACTCTGGAAAAATGCACAGACAGGTAAACCTCTGCGGAAGCCTCACAGACTGCCAGCCTACCCAGGGATCCCGGGAGGTCCAAGTTCAGAATCCCACTTTGAGATGTTTCTTGTACTAAAACGCTTGGTTTACAAAAAGTCTTCCCCTATTTGTTTAGAGAACCCGAACGATGTCGTCACTGGCAGCGAAGCGCCTTGGCATGAACCGTAGGCCAGCTGGCTCAGGAGGTGGAGGCGGTGAGGCGGCCACTTGGGGCCACCGCTTCTGGCGGCCGCAGGAGCGACCCACAGACAGGTAATGGCTGCCATGGGGGGCGGGGCGTCGTCTTTAGCCTTTAGCGCCCCTGTGCTTCGTGCGCATTTCGTGGCCTCTGGGTGCCGTACCTGCTTCCCACCCGGCTTTCCTGGGTGGCGGAGAGCGAACCCACCCCAGCCTGGGTTGGGGGAGGGGGCGTCGGCGCAGGGTCCCGTGGGCAGAGCTGCGCTGGGAGCTGGCGGGCTCCGCATTCATCATTGTTCCTCCAGCGCCTGGCACGGCTGGGCCGAAGCAGAGACCGTGGCCTGAAGCGCGCCATCCCCTTCGGAGTTGACCGACCACCAAGCTCTTCCGCCCACAGGTGTTGTCAGAGCTCCTTCCACCGGCCGGACCTAGGAAGGACCCAGGGTCCAAACATGGCCCGAGGCTGGCCGAGAGCACAACAGCCGGCGGGCGCTGACGGGCACGGAGCGCACGGGACCGCGGAGGAACCCGCGCGCGCCCCCGCCTCGCGCCGCGCGCACGTGACTGCGCCCCCGGCCCCGCCCCCGGCCTGCCCCCCGCCCCCACTGGCCGCTCGGCCGCGCGCGGGTCGGCCGGCTCTATGGGGAAAGCGGCGGCTCCGAGCCGAGGCGGCGGCTGTGGCGGCCGCTCCCGCGGGCTCTCGTCGCTGTTCACGGTTGTCCCCTGCCTGTCGTGCCACACGGCGGCGCCGGGCATGAGCGCTTCCACGTCCGGCTCCGGGCCGGAGCCCAAGCCCCAGCCCCAGCCCGTGCCCGAACCGGAGCGGGGACCGCTGTCAGAACAGGTGTCGGAGGCAGTTTCGGAGGCAGTGCCAAGATCGGAACCTGTGTCCGAGACGACGTCTGAGCCGGAGCCAGGGGCTGGGCAGCCATCGGAACTGCTGCAGGGGTCGCGGCCGGGGTCAGAGTCAAGCTCAGGTGTAGGGGCTGGGCCCTTCACTAAGGCCGCATCGGAGCCGCTCTCCCGGGCGGTGGGGAGCGCGACCTTTCTCAGACCCGAGTCAGGATCGCTGCCAGCGTTAAAGCCCCTGCCTCTTCTGCGACCAGGACAGGCGAAGACTCCTCTTGGGGTTCCAATGTCGGGGACTGGCACGACCTCCAGTGCCCCACTGGCCTTACTGCCTCTGGACAGCTTCGAGGGCTGGCTTCTCAAGTGGACCAACTATCTGAAGGGCTACCAGCGCCGCTGGTTCGTGCTGGGCAATGGTTTGCTCTCTTACTACAGGTATGGAAGCGCCAGGGTGGGACATGGGGGTTGGAGGGTGGTGATGCTGCAGGGATGGTGATGGAGGGCCTCCATGGTTGGCGGACACTGCCACTAGTCTAGAGATGTTTAGGGGCATGCATTCCAGCAGGCCAAGTCACGCTTCTGGCCCGCCGCCAAGGGCCGGGGGCCCTGACCTCTGGCAAGGGTGAATGTGATCTGCGGACATGACCTCTGGCAAGCTTGGGTTTTTGGGCAAGTGGGGAGGTGGAGTAAGGGAGTGATCTGGGGCCTCAGTTCCCTTCTGCTTGGCAGTTGTGGGGCTTGGGGCAGCTAGCTAGAGTCAGCCCCTCAAAGTCCTTGCCCTTTCTGGTTCGGGAGCTAACATCATTGTGTGTTTGGGATTGAGGGAGAGAGTCACCTTGTTCAGTCCTTAGGACCCACACTCTTAGGAAGGGCTGCTTATTCTTCCCGCCTGGGGCAGTTACTCCCACCTTTCCTGATGCCTCTGGTTGCCAGGCCTTGGGCTGGGCACCACAGACTCACAGATGTATTGGACACGGTTCTTGGCCTTCAGGAGTCCATCTTGGCATTTTGCGGAGAGCTAGGAAGTGTTTTGCTGCCCTCCTTTCTTATTCCAGACCCAGCACGGGATTCAAAATTAAAGTCCAGTGGTGAGAGAGCTAACACTGTCTTCCCACTGAAACTGGTTGAAAGGAGGTTACTGAAGCCTCCCTTTGCTTTCTTACTGGCTCTTCCCTGGGTCTGCTTCCTGGGGATGGTTGGTTTAAGCCTTGAGAACTCAGATCAGTCTATGCCAGTGGTTCTCAAACCTGAGTGTGCATCAGCATTCCCTGAAGAGCTTGTTGGAACACAAAGTGCTGGGCCTCCCCAATGAATTTCTGTTACAGTGGGCCTAGGGGAAGGGCCTGAGATTCGGATTTTCTAATAACTTCCCAGGCGTGGCTGGTGATGCTGGTCCAGGACCACACTCTGAGAAGCACTGTTTCATTGCTGCACACAAAAGGACCTTGACTTGCTGTTGCTGAAATTCAGGTCACTTCACTCACTTCATTCAGCCAACAGTATCCCTTCAAGTCACCCACTACAGGGTTTTGTTTTTTGTTGTTTTTGTTTTTGAGACGGAGTATTGCTCTGTCGCCCAGGCTGGAGTGCAGTGGTGCAATCTTGGCTCACTGCAACCTCCGCCCCCCAGGTTCAAGCAATTCTTCTGCCTCAGCCTCCTGAGTAGTTGGGATTACAGGCGCCCGTCACCATGCCCGGCTAATTTTTTTTTTGTATTTTTAGTAGAGATGGGGTTTCACCATGTTGCCCAGGCTGGTTTCGAACTCCTGACCTCAGGTGATTCGCCTGCCTCGGCCTCCCAAAGTGTTAGGATTACAGGCATGAGCCACCACACCGGCCTCTCCTGTCTTACAAATGAGGAGTTCTGAGGTTTGATGGGGAGACACAGAGCCCATTATCCAAAGGCACTGGCCCAGTAGACGGTAGAGAGGGATTCTGAACACCAACATCTGGACCTGTCCCAAATGTGTCCTGATACCCACTCACCTTTGAGTTCAGCATGTCTGTGTTACCTGTATTTACCAGGTACTACTAAACTGAAGAGTTAAAGGTAATGTTTATAAGTATAGTCTCCCACAGTGGCAGAAATGCCTGGTTTTAGTGGAAGTAAAACCTGATATCATGCTTTTGGGTTTTAATTGGAAGAGCAAAGATGTCCATCTTCTTTTTTTTATTTTTTGAGATGGAGTCTCACTCTGTCACCAGGCTGGAGGGCAGTGGTGCAATCTCGGTTCACTGCAACCTCCGCCTCCCAGGTTCAAGCAGTTCTCCTGCCTCAGTCTCCCAAGTAGCTGGGATTACAGGTGTGCGCCACCACACACGGTTAATTTTTGTATTTTTAGTAGAGGCGGGGTTTCACCATGTTGGCCAGGATGGTCTTGATCTCTTGACCTCATGATCTGCCCGTCTCAGCCTCCCAAATCTTCTTTTCTTAAAACAAAATGTGTAGACGGTTGACATTTCAGAGTGATCTCAAGTGTGCAGATTCTCTGGGTAACTAAGAAAAATTCTTACTGCTTGCTGATAATGTTGTGAAGATAAATGCTAGTTTTGTGGGGAGGAGGGAGTGAGAACAAGTTTCTGGTGTGTGTGCGTGTACAGTCCAGCTCTGCAATTTCCTTTTCGGACTTTTCGAGATTCTAAGATGGGTCAAATTGTTGCTGACCTTACCCAGGTATAATGAACGATTCCTGACATTTATACGATCCTGTGCCCTCATTGCATTCCATGCAAGGCTGGCCAGGAAAGGGGAACTGAGGCTGAATGAATGAACCTCAATGGCCTCCCCAGAGACGGCCAGCTTGCAGGCTGTGTGTCCGAATGCCACCAGAGATGAGTATATGTGCAGAAAAGGCCCTTTTGAAGTGCAGCTGGAATTGCCACTTGAGATGTTTGACGCCGCTCTCCTGTCCCCACTTCTGATCTGAATTCCCCTTCTAGAACAGGCCATCTTGCCAGCTGGGATCAAGGACTGAGCATCCTCCAGGTCTGTCACGTAACCCTGACAGCAGCAGGGTGGGTTTTCGGATGCGCCAAATGTGCCCAGTGCCGTGCATGTGTGTTATCTCCTCCAGCCCTCTCCAGACACCCAGCTCTCAGCAGGTGGCCAAATGGGTGTGGCTGGGGATAGAGGTGAGATTAGGGTGCTTGTGAGTTGGAAATAAAGTGAAAGAATTTTTAAATTCATGATCTCTTTTCCTTGGGGGCTGGTAGAGTCAAGCTTACCTGCTGGGCAATGTGGCTGGCGAAGAAGGAATCAGGGCCATTTCTCTTGCTGGCTTCTCTTTTGGAAAGACCACTCTCAACTTTTTAATTTTTCTTTTTCTTTTTTTTTTTTTTGAGACAGAGTCTTGCTCTGTCGCCAGGCTGGAGTGCAGTGGCGTGATCTCAGCTCACTGCAATCTCTGCCTCCCAGGTTCGAGCTATTCCCCTGCCTCAGCCTCCCGAGTAGCTGGAACTACAGGCGTGCACCACCACGCCTGGCTAATTTTTTGTATTTTTAGTAGAGACGGGGTTTCACCATATTGGCCGGGATGGTCTCAAACTCCTGACTTCGTGATCTGCCCGCCTTGGCCTCCCAAAGTGCTGGGATTACAGGCATGAGCCACTGCACCTGGCCAACTTTTTAACTAAGTGAAGCCTGGTGTTTGGAGAAAATGTGAGCATCTATTTCTTGTGCCCCCTGCCATCCCATCCCACTTTCTGGCCTCCCCTCCTCCAGGATAGCCACTATTCCTAATCCTGGTCGCCATGCACTTTTCTCCCCATTTTATTTAATTTTATCTCATCTAGGTGTAATATTTAAAAGTCCATATTTTTTATTGCAATTTTTGTTTTTTTTGAGACAGAGTCTTATTCTGTTGCCCAGGCTGGAGCACAGTGGCACGATCTTGGCTTACTACACCCTCCCACTCCCAGGTTCCAGTGATTCTCATGCCTCAGCCTCCTGAGTAGCTGGGATCACAAGCGTGTGCTACCGTGCCCAGCTAATTTTTTGTGTGTTTTTAGTAGACACAAGGTTTCGTTATGTTGGCCAGGCTGGTCTCAAACTCCTGGCCTCAAGTGATCCACCCCCTTCAGCCTCCCAAACTGCTGAGATTACAGGCATGAGCCACTGTGCCTGGCTATGCAGTCATCTTTAACCTTATTTCAAAAAGGGTTTCTAATATATAGAGTATGTTATTTTTACAAGACTTATTTTGACTATTGTATAAAGTCCAGGGTGCAAATGTAGCACCTTTTACTTATGCATTTTCCTGATGATGGGTCACTACAAACATTCTTGTATGTGTGCCGGAATTTCTCTTGAGTATAATTTCTGGGTTGTAGAGAATTGTGAATGTTCATCTTACGTAATGCCAAACTGTTTCCCAAAGCAGTTGCACAAATTTATATTCCCAACGGTCATGAAAAAGAGATTCTGTGGATCCTTATCCTTTGCAAGACTTGGTATTGTCAGTGTTGATTTTGCTAATCGAATGGGAACTGTGATCGCTCATTGTAGTCCTGACCTGCATTTCAATTTCCATTATTTTTACCTTAATAGCAGAAGAGTGGGGGTTTGGATTAAAATTTCTCCTTTCAATGTCACTTCCTCAGGTACTTCTGCCCTGGATTTTGCTCGAGAAACTCATTTGATTGCTTAAGTATATTCTAAGGAAGAAAGCACATTTTACCAATAGTTGGGCTTAATAACATTCATATTATTAAGAATTTTTAAAAATGCTCTTTATAAATATTATCACATGTAAAAAGTATTTCTATGAGATATGGATAATTGTTGGCAGATTTTCACTTCTTTCTGACAATGTGCTTGGAATATAAATAAGGCAGAAGATTCTTTTTTTCTTTTTTTTTTTTTTGAGATGGAGTCTCGTTCTGTCACCCAGGCTGGAGTGCAGTGGCACGATCTCGGCTCACTGTGACCTCTGCCTCCCAGTTTCAAACAATTTTCCTGCCACAGCCTCCCGAGTAGCTGGGATTACAGAGGCATGCCACCACACCCAGCTAATTTTTTTTGTATTTTTAGTAGAGACGGGGTTTCACCATGTCGGCCAAGCTGATCTCAAACTCCTGACCTCGTGATCCGCTTGCCTCGGCCTCCCAAAGTGCTGGAATAACAGGCTTGAGCCACCGAGCCTGGCCTAGAAGACAAGATTCTTATTCCATTACTTGGCATTCTTAATTATATGTTTATTTGCATACTAACAAGGAGAATATAGGAATATGGTTTTTTGTTCAATGTTGGCTTTTTTTTTAATTGCGGGAAGTTCCCTTTGAAAAAATTTATCCCTAGTTCTTATCTCACAGGGAACACGTGATTCCATAAAATTAGAGAATAATTCCTAAATGATACAGAATTTTCAAATGTATTGTCATCAGCAAGTTTTTATGGAGAAAGTGTTCCAAACAGAAGTTTTATCTATATTAATGACAACATTTATTAGGTTAGGCAAACTTCTGTTTTGTTGTATACCAGTTGTCTGCTTGGTGACATTATAAATGACATTTATTTCTCAGGAAATGATTTCAAACAGAAGCATTTTAAATAATTTATTTATTGTTCATACTGATCTCTGCTTAGTAAATGGCTAAGCCAGTTAGCAAGGAATGCCTCCCAGAAATTAGCCTAGGTCTATAAGGTAGATAGCTGCAGTCAAGTGAGAACAAATTTTGAAAGTCCTTGGCTGGGCACAGTGGCTCATGCCTGTAATCCGAGAACTCTGGGAGGCTGAGGCGGGCAGATCACCTGAGGTCAGGAGTTCGAGACCAGCTTGACTAACATGGTGAAACCCACCCCGTCTTTACTATATACAAAAAAAAAAAATTAGCTAGGCGTGGTGACGCATGCCTATAATCCCAGCTACTCGGGAGGCTGAGGCAGGAGAATTGCTTGAACCTGGGAGGCAGAGGTTGCAGTGAGCCGAGATTGTGCTATTGCACTCCAGCCTGGGCAACAAGAGTGCAACTACGTCTCAAAAAAAAAAAAAAAAGTCCTTTGGCTGAGGAAGACCACTGAACACTTGGTGAGCTGCACCCATTTTGGGTCAGTGGCCAGGTAACAGAAGATGGCACACCAAGACATTGTTGCCTCTGGGATAGATTGTGTACTCACCCTTCCCATGAACTCAGTTCTCAAAAGCCAACTGCTGTGAAAACTGGGCACCGAGAAATATTGTACTGTTTTCAATGTCAATTTCTTTTTTTCTTTTTTCTTTTTCTTTTCTTTTTTTTTTTTTTTTTGAGACAGAGTCTCGCTCTGTAGCCCAGGCCGGAGTGCAGTGACATGATCTCGACTCACTGCAAGCTCCGCCTCCCAGGTTCATGCTATTCTCCTGCCTCAGCCTCCCAAGTAGCTGGGACTACAGGCACCTGCCACCACACCCGGCTTATTTTTTGTATTTTTAGTACAGACGGGGTTTCACCATGTTAGCCAGGATGGTCTCGATCTCCTGACCTTGTGATCCGCCCGCCTCGGCCTCCCAAAGTGCTGGGATTACAGGCGTGAGCCACCACGCCCAGCCTTCAATGTCAATTTTGATAATACTCAAAGGCTGGAGATGGAAAAGTCCATCCAGTTGCAAAGCGTCCCTGAAAACATGAAGTTGAGGGTGCAAGTGTGCAGGGTTAGTCCTCACATAATGGGCTGGATACCCCCGAAGGTAGCTTTATTGGATTCAGCTTTAATTTGAAATTATTATTCATTGTTACATACTCTGAGACTGTTAGGAGGCCGAAAAGGAATGCACAGGTTGATCATGTGTAAGCATTTGAAGTATATTTTCTTAGCATTTAGCACAGAGTTGTTGCAAAGAGGTGACAAATGGACTAGCAGCATATTTTGGAGGAGCACAGTGCACACCAACATTCTTAGCAAGTTCTAGTGACATGAACTGTCATTTTCCCCACCAAACCTGCCTCCCCCTCCTAACTCCTCTTTCTATGAATAGCTGAATACCTCTGAGTCATACTTGCTGCCTCTTCCCTCCCTCATCCCACATTAGATGAAATTTCCAAGTCCTGCCTGTATATCTCCTCTAGCTCCTCCTCTCCATCCCAGTTGCCGCATCATGGTTCAGGTCTGCCTTCTGCTTACCTGGTGTCCCAGCTTCTGTCCTGGACAGTGCATCCCTGCTGTGGTGCTAGTGTCCCACCTCCATGACCCTGGGGTTGTCTCACCTTCTCCAGGATTCTCTTTCAATAGTACCTTCTCTGCTGGGCGTGGTGGCTCACGCCTGTAATCCCAGCAGTTTGGCAGGCTGAGGCAGGTGGGTCACCTGAGGTCAGGAGTTTGAGACCAGCCTGACCAACATGGCGAAATCCTGTCTGTACTAAAAATACAAAAATTAGCTGGGCATGGTGGTGGGTGCCTGTAACCCCAGCTACTCGGGAGTCTGAGGCATGAGAATCACTTGAACCTGGGAGGTGGAGGTTGCAGTGAGCCAAGATCATGCCACTGCAATCCAGCCTGGGTGACAGAGTGAGACTCGGTCTCAAAAAATAAATAAAATAAATAAACAAAACAAAACAAAACAGTACCTTCTCCTGTGTAAGCAGATCCCTGTATTGAATTTCTCCTGTTTGAAATACCTAGAGTAGCCCCGTACTGATCCAAAGAACCAGGTCTTCCTCCTTTGGGAATTTACAGGGTATGTCTGAGCTTCTCTGCAGATAACTTTGTGTCAAGGGGACACCATGGCCAAGTTTGGCATCTTCTTTGTATTCCACATAGAGCCTGGAGTAGTACTTGCCACTGATACATCCTCAGTAGCTTGGTTTGTCTGTTAATAGATGAGTGAGTAAATGAATTAGAGTTGCCTGTGAGTTTATGGGATTTCAGAAAGCCAAGTATGTTCATGCCAAACTTGAATTTTTCTTAATTTGTCTTCCATTTCAAAAACTTGTTTGCTGCAATAAGTTAACTGGGGAGATAAATTGGAGATTGCAGGCTTAAGCCAGGAGTGCAGGAAAAGCAACAGTGGGAATGTGGATATAATGTGTTTCTAGCTTTGAATGTGTTGCAATAGGCTACTCAGTGAACCAGTATCTTATTTTTTTTTTTTTAAATTTTTTGAGATGGAGTCTCGCTGTGTTGCCCAGGCTGAAGTGCAGTGGCAAAATCTTGGCTCACTGCAACCTCTGCTTCCTGGGTTCAAGCGATTTTCCTGCCTCAGCCTCTGGAGTAGCTGGGATTACAGGTGTGCACCACCACACCCAGCTAATTTTTGTATTTTTAGTAGAGATGGGGTTTCACCATGTTGGCCAAACTGGTCTCAACCTCTTGAGTTCAAGTGATCCACTCTCCTCAGCCTCCCAAAGTGTTGGGATTATAGGCGTAAGCCACCATGCCCGGCCTTATAGCTTTTTTTTTTTTTTAGACAGAATCTCACTCTGTTGCCCAGGCTGGAGTGCAGTGGCACGATCCTGGCTCACCACAACCTCTGCCACCTGGGTTCAAGCAATTCTCCTGTCTTAGTCTCCCAAGTAGCTGGGAGTACAGTCACCTGCCACCATGCCCTGCTAATTTTTGTATTTTTAGTAGAGACGGAGTTTCACCATGTTGGCCAGGCTGGTCTCAAATTCCTGACTTCAAGTGATCTGCCCGCCTCAGCCTCCCAAAGTGCTGGCATTACAGGTGTGAGCCATCGTGCCTGGCCTGGCCTTATAGCTTTTAAAGCTACTTTTCTGTGTATCTGATGGCTTGCCTTGCACTGTTGGAAGCCAGCTATTGATCAAAGAAGGGGCCTCTACCCTAAAATGTTAGATCCAACTGGATAATACAACCTTTTGTCTGTGGGGTATTCTGCAAGTGTCAGAGTGACTTCCAGTTTATGCTTTCAGTGCAGGAGTGCTGATCTTGCCATCCTGTTACATGGGGAAAAAACTGGAAGCACATGAACAGCACGAGGATTCAATCACAGTCTTCTGACTCAGCCCACGCAAAGGTGTCCACCCACCTCACACTGGGGAGACTCTTCTGTGGGGTCCTGGGTTGGAGGTCTCCGAAAGTAACCCCAGGCTCAATGACCCACTAGGAGGACTCACAGGACTCAGCATATATTAATGGCAAAAACTGTGATTACCTTTGTACCAACCTAATAGTTGTACCCACAGCTATACTTTATTACAATGAAAGGATGCAAAGAAAGCACGATGGCAAAGAAACAGAGTGAAGTCTGGGGAAAAACAGCTGCAAGCTTCCAAGGGTCCTCTCCCAGTGGAGTCACACAAGATGCGCTTAATCCCTCCACCACCGAGTTGTGACAACGCACGTGAAATGCTGCCAACCAGGGAAGATCCTTAGAGACTCAGAGCCCAGGGTTTTTACTGGGAGTTCGTCATGTGGGCACCTTCTGTTTGGCACGTACCCAAATTCCAGATTCCCAGAAGGAAAGCAGATTTTTTTTTTTTTTTTTGAGACAGAGTCTTGCTGTGTCGCCCAGGCTGGAGTGAAGTGGTGCAGTCTCAGTTCACTGCAACCTCTGCCTCCTGGGTTCAAGATATTTTTGGCTAATTTTTGTATTTTTAATAGAGATGGAGTTTCACCATGTTGGCCAGGCTGGTCTCGAACTCCTGACCTCAGGTGATCTCAGCCTCCCAAAGTGCTGGTATTACAGGTGTGAGCTGGAAAGCAGATATTTGCCATAAATCACATCGTTTGTACAAACAGTATAGGCACAGTGAGCCACCCTTATCAGTTAGGGAATGGTAGGAAACCTCCCCAAATTCAAGCTACCAGACACTAGCCAAAGGCCCCTTGGAAGCAGGCCTGTCAAAGGACGGGCAGTCTCAGGCCTGCTGTGTGAACTCTTTTCTGCACAGGTGTGAACTCATTCCTCCTTGCAGACATCAGTGACATCAGTCAGAGTAAGGGCTGGTTCAAGGAGAGTGAGTGCCCATACTTGGCTTTGAGTGATGGAGTGGCCTCTTGTCTCTGATCAGAGAAAGCCACATGCCAGTCTTGCAGGGTGTCAAACACATAGCATGTCTGCTGCTCTGTGTGCTGAGTGCCTGCTCTGTGGCTCTCCTGGCCCTGTGATTGGCGGTTGATTGCATCACAGACACTTGTCTGATCTAGACCTTGCCCAAGGTCATCTGGCGGCTTGGTTTTTGCAAGTGACTGGGGTACACTTGCCACATGGACCCCTTCCTCCCCAGTATTTTTGTTGTTGTTGTTGTTGTTGTTGTTGTTGAGATGGAGTTTTGCTCTTGTTACCCAGGTTGGAGTGCAGTGGCGCGATCTCAGCTCACCGCAACCTCCGCCTCCCGGGTTTAAGCAATTCTCCTGCCTCAGCCTCTCGAGTAGCTGGAATTACAGGCATGCACCACCATGCCCGGCTAATTTTGTATTTTTAGTAGAGTCGGGGTTTCTCCATGTTGGTCAGGCTGGTCTCGAACTCCCGACTTCACATGATCCACCTGCCTTGGCCTCCCAAAGTGCTGGGATTACAGGGGTGAGCTACCGCGTCTGGCCTCCCCAGTATTTTTGCGCCTTTGGTGGAGTGTCTGCTGTGAGTTCTTCAGCTGCTGCTACTGAACCTTGTACGTTTCTCAGGGAGGGTCTGTTAATCCAAGATTGGGGCCTGACAAGAAGTCTGAAACGTTTGTGACAGTGAGCCTGCACTAGCTTTGGTCATATTGTTTATTGATCTCCTGCAGTGACCACAATGTGCAAGGCAGTGTGAGTGACAGACCTGCATACCACTGTCACACAACTGGAGTGGAGGAGGGGGAGGGAAGTGTGCACACACCCTGGTTATTTAGTAAGAGGCCAACAGGTTGAGGCAAAGTGCTTTGTGGGAGCCCCTGGATATTCAAACATGTGGCTTTCACTTCCCCTGTAGTCTTTTGGGATACAGCTGGCAAACTATGTCAGTAAAGAAAGACAGGTCTATGAAAAGGCTGTGAGGTTCCCTAGAACAAGATCAGTATATGCTTATCCCAAGGGGAAAGAGAGGGGAAATGGGCCTGTTCCCTGGATGACTGCTGGATGCTGACACGTGGAGAGAGGAGATGGTAAGAAACACCTCTGAACAAAATTGAAATTGGCAGCTTGGTGTGTGGTGAATCACACAGCAGGTGTCACCACACGGAGATGTGGCTTTAAGAGGCCCCTTTCATAATCATACACACGGAGCAAACTGTCAATAAGTTTTGGGGTCATGCTGGGTGCTGTACACTTTTTTTCTTTTATGTGCGATGCTTTGCCACGTTGCCTTACTTTTTTTTTTAAGAGTCCTTGGAGTTCTGATTGCTTAGTGATGCTTCATTCCATTTGGCATCTTGTCACACGCACAGCCACAGCTCTACATTTAATACCGATTTAACAATCTTGACTCACACCATTTGATCTGCATTGCTGGGCCATTGCCTGAAACCAAGAGGAGGGCAGATGGTGTGGCTGAGCTTGCATAGGAAACTGCCAGATTGCATTGTCCTTTGAAGCAGCAGGAGGTGCCGCCTTCCTAATACAGTGTGTGGTTTCCCTGGGCTCACCAGATGAAGCCCTGACCCTCGGCGTGATAGTCACTGTCCTTCACAGCCAGGTCCTGCCTCTCTTTTCCCTATCACTCATCTTCTTCCAGCCTTGACCCTTCTTCTAACAAACTTGCCTTACTCCCCCTTTGCAAGCCACATGTGTTTCATTCCTCACTCCAGATCTTCCTGCCATCCCCTCAGCCAGAAGGACCCCTCCTCATTGCTGCTGAAATCCTATCTGGGTAGGCTTAATCCCAGGGTCATCTCAGCATGGACCTGTATGGATTTCCTGCAACGATCTGGAGGAACTGTCCTTCTTCTGGATGCCTTTTTGTGTATTTCATTTGGCCATGCACCCCATCAGCTGGGTATTCGTCCTTCTCTCTCCGTTAGATCAATACCTCCCTCCTCCCCACCGGAACATAGGGCCATGTCTTCTCAATGTAGTGTCCTCTAGAGTGCTGGGCCTAGGGCCTTATACTTGAAAGACTCTCAAACTTCAGTGAAGCTTTTTTTTTTGAGACGGAGTCTAGCTTTGTCGCCAGTCTGGAGTGCAGTGGCGTGATCTCAGCTCACTGCAACCTCCGCCTCCCGTGTTCAAGCAATTCTTCTGCCTCAGCCTCCGGAGTAGGTGGGATTACAGGCTCTCGCTGCCACGCCCGGCTAATTTTTGTATTTTTAGTAGAGACAAGGTTTCACCATATTGGCCAGGATGGTCTTGATCTCCTGACCTCAAGTGATCCACCCACCTTGACCTCCCAAAGTGTTAGGATTACAGGCGTGAGCCACCGTGCCCGGCCTTAAGTGAAGCATTTTTATAGAAAATGTACTTTTTGGGCCCAGTGCAGTGGCTCACACCGGTAATCCCAGCACTGTGGGAGGCTGAGGCGGGCGGATCACGAGGTCAGAAGATCGAGACCATCCTGGCTAACACAGTGAAACCCCGTCTCTACTAAAAATACACAAAAAAAATTAGCCGGGCACGGTGGCGGGCCCTGTAGTCCCAGCTACTCGGGAGGCTGAGGCAGAGGAATGGCGTGAACCCGGGTGGCGGAGCTTGCAGTGAGTCGAGATCATGCCACTGCACTCCAGCCTGGGCAACAGAGCGAGACTCTGTCTCAAAAAAAAAAAAAAGAAAATGTACTTTTTGTAATTTTGTGTTTTGTTCCTAGTATAAAGACCCAACATGCAGCCTGAACCATTGCAGTAGCCGAGGGGGAGTCAATGAATTGCTAGGAGAACACAGTGACCACGAGGCTACACATGGCCCAGCTTCTTCAGCCCCATTTCTTTTTTCTTTTTTTTTTTGAGACAGAGTCTCACTCTTGTTGCCCAGGCTGCAGTGCAGTGGTGCAGTCTTGGCTCACTGCAACCTCTACTTCCTGGGTTCAAGCGAGTCTCCTGCCTCACCCTCCCGAGTCGATGGGATTACGGGCATCTGCCACCATGCCTGGCTAATTTTTGCATTTTTAGTAGAGACAGGGTTGTGCCGTGTTGGCCAGGCTGGTCTCGAACTCCTGACCTCAGGTGATCCACCTGCCTCAGCCTCCCAAAATGCTGGGATTATAGGTGAGAACCACCTCGCCTGGCTGTTCAGCCCCTTTTCTAAGGCTTACATGAGCTAAGACTATGTGAGGATATTGAGAGCTCATTGTATTAATGTGTATTTAAAACTCTTTTGTTATGAAGAATTTTAAACAACATATATAAGAGTAGACAATAGCATAATGAAACCCCATGTACCCATTACCTAGTTTCAACAATTATTAACTTCTAGGCCAATCTCGTTTCATCTCAGTCCTTCTCAAATCATTTTAAAGTGAATTCTAAATATGATATTTTACCTGTGACTATTTCAGTATATATCTCTAAAGGATAAGGATTTTTTTTTTTTTTTTTTTTTTTTTTTTGAGACAGAGTCTTGCTCTGTCACCCAGTCTGGAGTGCAATGGCATGATCTTGGCTCACTGTAACCTCTGCCTCCTGGGTTCAAGCAATTCTTCCGCCTCAGCCTCCCGAGTAGCTGGGATTACAGGCGCCCACCATCATGCCCGGCTAAGTTTTTAATTTTTGTAGAGACGAGGTTTCACCATGTTGGCCAGGCTGGTCTGGAACTCCTGACCTCAGGTGATCCGCCCACTTCAGCCTCCCAAAGTGCTAGGATCAACAGGCGTGAGCCACCGTGCCCGGCCAAGGATAAGGATTTTAAAAACATATCCACAGGCCAGGGGGGTTGGCTCATGCCTGTAATCCCAGCACTTTGGGAGGCCAAGGTGGGTGGATCACCTGAGGTCAGGAGTTCGAGACCAGCCTGACCAACATGGTGAAAACTTATCTCTACTAAATATAAAAAATTAGCCGGGTATGGTGGTGGGTGCCTGTAATCCCAGCTATTTGGGAGGCTGAGGCAGGAGAATCACTTGAACCCAAGAGGTGGAGGTTGCTGTGAGCTAGGTTGTCCTGTTGCACTCTAGCCTGGACAACAAGAGCGAAAACTCCATCTCAAAAATAATAATAATAAAATAAATAAATAAATAAACAAAAACATATCCACAATACCACTATTACAACTAAAACAAGTTAACAATCATTCCTTATCATCAGCTATCCAATCAGTGTTCACAATTTCAGTGGTTTCAAATGTCATAAATTTTTTTTTGGATACATTTGTTTGTATTGGGACTCAACCAAGATCTACCCATAGAATTTCCCACAGTCTGGATTTTACTGATGGCATTTTCTTGGTGTAGGTTAACATGTTCCTCTCTCCTCTGTAAGGTCTTAGTTTGACAGATGGATCTAGAAAGTTGAATAGGTGGTGGTGTGTTCTTCCATCAGGAGTTGGTGGCTTCTCTTTTTTTGTGATGTTAGCAGCTAGTGATGATCAATCTTAGATTAGTCTAATTGTTTTTTGTTTGTTTGTTTTTTGTTTTTTTTTGAGACAGAGTCTCACTCTGTCTCCAGGCTGGAGTGCAGTGGTATGATTTCGGCTTACTGCAAACTCCACCTCCCAGATTCAACCAGTTCTCCTGCCTCAGCCTCCTGAAGTGCTGAGATTACAGGCATGAGCCACCGCACCTGGCCAAATTAGTCTAATTATTTAAAAAAAATTTTTTTTTTTTAAGACATGGGGTCTTGCTGTGTCACCCAGGCTGGTTTGTGAACTCCTGGGCTCAAGTGAGCCCACACTTGGCTTCCCAAAGTGCTGGTATTACAGATGTAAGGCCACCTCGCCCAGCCCAGATTAGTCTAATTCTATCACTTCATCCTCATTTATTGGCAGGGATACTTTTTTTTTTTTTCTGAAATGGAGTCTTGCTTTGTCACCCGGGCTGGAGTGCAGTGGTGCAATCTCAGCGTACTGTAATCTCTGCCTCCCAGGTTCAAGCAATTCTCCTGCTTCAGCCTCCCGAGTAGCTGGAATTATGGGCATGTACCACCATGCCTGGCTAATTTTTTTGGTATTTTTAGTAGAGACAGGGTTTCACCATGTTGGCCAGGCCGGTCTTGAACTCCTGACCTCAGGTGATTCCCCCACTCAGCCTCCCAAAGTGCTGCGATTACAGGTGTGAGCCACCGTGCCCCGCCTTAGCAAGAATACTTCTACAAAGAGAAACTTCCCCTCATCTGCTACTCGATGGTTACTCAGAGGTGCAGTTCACACAGGAAGAGCAGAATCAGTGCTTGACTCTTTCCTGTTTTGTTTTGTTTTGTTTTCAAAAATTTTCAAAATAATGAGTTGGCACTTCTCTTCTAGTGGTGGCCAATTAGTTGTGTTTTCTTAAGCATCATTACCTCTCATAGATATCAGCATGTTTGATGTGTTTCCCACTACTGTCATTACCCTTAAAGATGCTCATGTTGTCCGGCCATGTCTTTAGTTAGTGGAAGTCTCTTCAAGTTGGCCCTAGAGTCCTTTGGAAGGACCCCTGATAGAATTAGTGTTTAATAGCTTCCTTGCTGTCTGGCTTGAAAACATGTTCCAGGCTCTTCTTATACTTGTCTTTTTTTTTTTTTAGTGTGTATTTTTTTGAGACAGGGTCTCACTCTGTCACCCAGGGTGCTGTACAGTGGTGCGATCTCAGCTCACTGTAACCTCCACCTCCCAGGTTCAAGCGATTCTCCTGTCTCAGCCTCCCTAGTAGCTGGGATTACAGGCATGTGCCACCACGCCAGGCTTATTTTTGTATTTTTAGTAGAGATGGGGTTTCACCATGTTGGCCAGGCTGGTCTCAAACTCCTGACCTCAGGTGATGTGCCTGCCTCGGCCTCCCAAAGTGCTGGGATTACAGGCGCCTGCCACCACGCCCGGCTAATTTTTGTATTTTTAGTAGAGACAGTTTCACCATGTTGGCCAGGCTGGTCTCGAACTCCTTGACCTCAGGCGATCCGCCTGCCTCGGCCTCCCAAAGTGCTGGGAATACAGGCGTGAGTCACTGCGCCCAGCCTTGTACTTGTCTTGTCCCAGGCCTGGAGTCAGCCATTTCTCCAAGGAGCCACATTTCTTTTTGGTGGGAAATAGTGTTTGAAGATCATAATCTTGGTGCCATAAGGGGTCATTGTCACCCAGTTGGTCATTGTTTCTAGGTCTTTTTAGTGTATAGAGCTAGGAAATATATATATATATATTTATGTGTGTTTGTTTTATAAAAGCTAGGAAATATCTATATTTTGTTTTATACAGAACTAGGAAATATATATATTTATACAATGTTTGATACTATATATATGTACATACATATATATATAAATACATTTATATCCTGGCTCGGTATAAAGCAAACAAACAATGTGTTTGTTCTCTTTAAAGATAGAATATATTATCAGTTCATACTGGTATTCTCAACACAAAATTAAGACCAGGCCTGGCTCAGTGGCTCAGGTCTGTAATCCCAGCACTTTGGTAGCCAAGGTGGGTGGATCCCTTGAGTCCAGGAGTTTGAGACCAGCCTGGGCAACATGGCAAAACCCCATGTCTACAAAAAATGCAAAAATCAGCCAGGCATGGCGGTGTGTGCCTGTGGTCCGAGCTACTCAGGAGGCTGAAGTGGGAGGGTCACTCGAGCCTGGGAGGCAGAAGTTGCACTGAGCCAAGATCACATTACTGCACTCCAGCCTGGGTGACACAATGAGACCCTATCTCAAAAAAAAAAAAAAAAAAAAAATTAAGTCCACAGTATTTTTGCTTAGGTAGAACTCATTTTCTCTGTGTTTCATCTCCTTGCTGAAGCCCACCATGGTGTCTGCCTGGTCCCCTTTAGCTGGGGTGGGTTGGTAATCATCATTATCTCAAAGCTGGTTTGATGACATAGGTCTCTGGAGACCTGTAGAAAGACTTTGTCACTTTATTCAGCTAATGCTTAGACTCCAGACTGGGCTTCATACATCTCTCCCAGAGGTACTCACGTGACACGAAAGGTGCAGGCCAACACTGGTGTAATACACAGGATAATGCAAGTGACCCAAACGGAGATCAATGGCAAGTGGGTCCATGGGGGAGCAACTCTTTGAGAAAGACAGAGCGTGTCAGACTGTTTCAGACCCTGTTCTCCAGATCTCCTTTACCATTGGTAGTTTTTGCCTCCAGCTTCCTCCTTACCCTCCTCCTCTTTCTTCTCCAAACCTTGGGACTTGACCTAACCCTCCCACCTCACCTTTTCCTCCCACCTGGCAGAATGACATCTTTGTTTCTCTAGAGCAGTACATCAGCTGGGAGAGGAGGAGCCCAGGAAATTCTTGTTGAACTGAAATGTGCTCAAGCCTTCCCACCTCCTTCATTTGCCCTGGGAGGAGAGTGCCAGATGTGTATTTGTTGGTTCTGGGTCCTTTGAAAGTATTAAGTAAGGATGTGGATGGCCATTTCCATGAGGTCAGGGCTCCCAGCTGCTATGGAACCTCAGAATCCTCTCTCATCCTTTTGCACATTGTATGAAATGAAAAGCAGAAAACTGATCAGGAATAGAATATTGCAGGAAATAATCTTTTATATGTGTGGATCTACTTCATCACACTTCCAGTCTTCGTGACCTGGGAGGGAACTGGAGCGTCCAGGATCACCCTCATTTTACAGATGGGGAAAACAAGGCACAGAAAGTGTAGTTGCTTTGTCTAAGGCCCAGCAACTTGCATCACTGTTCATCATTTCTGTCCATATACAGGTTGTATCTTGGGGTCATTATGGACATAACCTCAGCTCTTTATTCTTTTATTTATTTACCCAGCAATGTATCTGTCTAGTGCCCTCTATGTGCCAGGCCTGCTTCTTGGGCTGCCAGTAAAGGAAGGAGCCCTGGTTTTTTGGTTTGTTTTTGGTTTTTGTTGTTTTTTTTGAGATATAGTCTTACTCTGTCACCTAGGCTGGAGTGGTACAGTGGCACCATCACGACTCACTGCAGCCTCAATGTTCTGCACTCAAGCAATCCTTCTCCACCTCAGCCTCCAGAGTAGCTGGGACTACAGGCGTGCATCACCACACTTGGCTAATTTTTTTTTTTTTTTTTGAGACAGAGTCTCACTCTGTCGCCCAGGCTGGAGTGCAGTGGCGTGATCTCGGCTCACTGCAAGCTCCGCCTCCTGGGTTCACGCCATTCTCCTACCTCAGCCACCCTAGTAGCTGGGACTACAGGCGCCCGCCACCACGCCCGGCTAATTTTTTCTATTTTTTAGTAGAGACAGGGTTTCACCGTGTTAGCCAGGATGGTCTTGATCTCCTGACCTCGTGATCTGCCCTCAGCCTCCCAAAGTGCTGGGATTACAGGCGTGAGCCACTGCACCCAGCTCATTTTATTTTATTTTTATGATTTTTTTCTTTTCTTCCTAACATGGGTTGGGAACCAATGAAGTATTTTATTTTATTTTTAAAATGTTATTTATTTATTTATTTAGACAGGGTCTTGCTCTGTTACCCAGGCTAGAGTGCAGTGGCATGATTACAGCTCATTGCAGCCTCAACCTCCCAGGCTCAAGTGATCCTCCCACCTCAGCCTCCCAAGTAGGTGGGACTACAGATGCACACCACTATGCTTGGCTAAGTTTTAAACAATTATTTTAGATACAGGGTCTTGCTATGTTGCCCAGGCTGGTCTCTAACTCCTGGGCTCAAGTGATCCTCCCATCTTGGCCTCCCAAAATACTGAGATTACAGATGTGAGCTATTACAGTCAACCTAAAATTGTTTTCATTGACACATCATAATTATATGTATTTTTGGGGTACAGGGTGATATTTTGGCTCATGTATACCACGTGTAATGATCAAATCAAAGTAACTAGCATATCCATCACCTCAAACATTTATCATTTCTTTGTGTTGGGAACATCCAAACTCCTGTCTTCCGGTTATTTGAAAATATACAATACATTATTATTAACTGTAGTCACCCTACAGTGCTGTAGAACACTAGAACTTATTCCTCCTGTCTAGCTGTAGTTCTGTATCCATTAACCAACCTCTCCTTCTCCCCCACTTCCCTCTATCCTTCCCAGCCTCTAATAACTACTATGCTACTCTCTACTTTTATGAGATTGACTTTTTCAGCCTCCACATGTGAGTGAGAACATGTGGTATTTGTCTTTCATGCTTGGCTTGTTTTACTTAACATAATGTTCTCTGGGCTCATGCATGTTGTGCACATACAAGATTTCATTCTTTTTTAATGGCTGAATAGTATTCCATTGTGTATATATACCACATTTTCTTTATCCATTCATCTGCTGGACACTTAGGCGGATTCCATATCTTGGCTATTGTGAATAGTTCTACAATAAATATGGAAGTGCAGATATCTCTTCAACACACTGATTTTTTTTCTTGTGTTTTTTTTTTGTTGTAGTAAAAAACACATAACGTAAAATTTACTATCTTAACTATTTTTAAGTGTACAGTTCAGTAGCATGGTGTATTTCACGTTGCTGTGAAACACATCTCCAAAATGTTTTCATCCTGCAAATATGAAACTCTATGTTCATTGGACAACTCCTCCCCTTTTCCCCTTTCCCTACCCCTGGTCACCACCATTCTACTTTCTATTTCTTTTTATTTGAGACGGAGTTTCACTCTTGCCCAGGCTGGAGTGCAATGGTGTGATCTTGGCTTACTGCAACCTCTGCCTCCCGGGTTCAAGCGATTCTCCTGCCTCAGCCTCCCGAGTAGCTGGGATTACAGGTGCCCACCACCATGCCTGGCTAATTTTTGTATTTTAGTAGAGATGGGGTTTCACCATGTTGGCCAGGCTGGCCTTGAATTCTTGACCTCAAGTGATCCACTCACCTTGGCCTCCCAAACTGCTGGGATTACAGGCATGAGCCACCACGCCCAGCCTTCTGTTGTTTCTTTTGGATATATACGCAAAAGTGGTATTGCTGTATCATATGGTAGTTCTATTTTTAATTTTTTTAGGAATCTCCATACTGTTTTCTGTAGTGATTATACCATTTTACATTCCCACTGAAAATGTTTCTTTTTTTTTTTTAATTTTATTTTGTAGAGATGGGATTTTGCTATGTTGCTCAGGTTAGCCTGGAACTCCTGGGCTCAAGGAATCCTCTCTCCTCATCCTCCCAAAGTGCTGAGATTACAGGCATGGGCTACTGTGCTTGGCCCAACAATGTTTCTTAAAGGTTCCAGTTTCTCTACGTCCTTGCCAATGATTTATTTTCTGTTTTTGTTTTGTTTTGTTTTTGATAGTAGCCATCCTAATGGATGTGAGATGGTATCTATTGTGGTTTTGATTTGCATTTCTGTGATGATAAGTGATGAGCATCTCTCTCTCTCTTTTTTTTTTTTTGGCCAGGGAGGAGGGGACAGAGTCTTGCTTCATTGTCCAGGCTGGAGTGTAGTGGCATGATCATGGCTCACTGCAGCCCCAACCTCTGGGGCTCAAGTGATCCTCCCACCTCAGCCTCCTGAGTAGCTGGGAATACAGGTGTGCACACCACCACACATGGCTAATTTTTAGATTTTTTTTTTTTTTTGAGGTGGAGTTTCACTCTTGTTGCCCAGGCTGGAGTGCAATGGCGCCATCTCGGCTCACTGCAACCTCTGCCTCCTGGGTTCAAGCGATTCTCCTGCCTCAGCCTCCCAGGTAGCTGTGATTGATTACAGGTGCCTGCCACCATGTCCAGTTAATTTTTTGTGTTTTTAGTAGAGACGGGGTTTCAACATGTTGGCCAGGCTGGTCTTGAACTCCTGACCGCAGGCGACCTTCCCACCTTGGCCTCCCAAAGTGCTGGGATTATAAGCATGAGCCACCACACCTAACCTTTTTTTTTTTTTTTTTTTAACACAGGATCTTGCAGTGTTATCCAAGCTGGTCTCGAATTCCTGGGCTCAAGTGATCCTCCCACCTCAGCCTCCCAAAGTATCCCACCTCAGCCTCCCGAAGTATCGGGATTACAGGCCTGTGCCACCATGCCCAACCACAAGCATCTTTTCTTTCTTTCTTTCTTTCTTTTTTTTTTTTTTGAGACAGAATCTCGCTCTTGTCGCCCAGGCTGGAGTGCAATGGCATGGTCTCGGCTCACTGCAACCTCCACCTCCTGGGTTCAAGTGATTCTTCTGCCTCAGCCTCCTGAGTAGCTGTGATTACAGGTGCCTGCCACCACACCCAGCTAATTTTTGTACTTTTAGTAGAGATGGGGTTTTGCCATGTTGGCCAGGCTGGTCTTGAACTCCTGACCTCAGGTGATCTGCCTGTTTCAGCCTCCCAAAGTGCTGGGACTACAGGCATAAGCCACCACACCTGGCTGAGCATCTTTTCATATGCTTGTTGATCGTTTGTATAACATCTTTAGAGAAATGTCTGTTCAAATCCTTTTTTTGTTTGTTTGTTTTTTTGTTTTGTTTTGTTTTTTGTTTTTTTGAGACAGAGTCTCACATGGTTGCCCGGGCTGGAGTGCAATGGCTCAATCTCGGCTCACTGCAACCTCCGCCTCCCAGGTTCAAGCAATTCTCCTGCCTCAGCCTTCTGAGTAGCTGGGATTACAGGTGCCCACCACCACGCCTGGCTAATTTTTTGTATTTTTGTAGAGATGGGATTTCACCATGTTGGCCAGGCTGGTCTCGAACTCCTGACCTCAAGTGATCTGCCCGCCTCAGCTTCCCAAAATGCTGGGATTACAGGTGTGAGCCACCATGCCTAGCCCCTTTGCTCATTTTTTAATCATTTATTTGATTTTTGTTGTTGAGTTGTAGAAGTTCTTCTTACATTCTAGACATTAACCCACTGTCAGATATATGATTAGCAAATATTTTCTCCTATTCCATAAGTTTCCTTTTTACTTTGTTGATTGTGTCCTTCAAGGAACTTAAGTTGTGTCCTTCGATGGAGTCCCATTTGTCTGTTTTTGCTTTTGTTGCCTGTGCTTTTGGTGTCATATCCAAGAAATCATTGCCAAATCCAATGTCATGAAACTTTATGCCTATGGTTTTCTCTAGGAGTTGTACAGATGTTACATTTAGGCATTTAAATCTATTTTGTTTTAATTTTACTGTTTTTGTGTGTGTGTGTGTGTGTGTGTGTGTGTGTGTGTGTGTGTGTAGAGACAGGGTCTCGCTATGTTGCTCAGGCTGATCTTGAACTCCTGGCCTCAAGTGATTCTCCTACCTCAGCCTCCCAAGTAGCTGGGATTATAGGCAAGAGCCACTGCACCTTGCTGGGTCTTTAATCCATTTTGAGTTAATTTTTGCATATGGTGTGAGATAAGGGTCTAACTTCATTCTTTTGCACAAGGACATCCAGTTTTTTCAACATCATTTGTTGAAGAGACTGTCCTTTCCCCCACTGAGTCATCTTGGCATCCTTGCCAAAGATCATTTGACACAGGGAAAAAATCAAGGCCTTTTGAAAAACGCCTACACTAAGGGGAAATGACACATGTTTTACTGTCCAGCTGCAGCTGTGCCATCCAGGACCAGATGGGAAGTTACATCCAGGAAAGTGGACCTCTAGAGTCCCTTCTCACATCTCTAGGCTTTGCTCACTAGCTATAAAGCCCTGTACTTACAAAAAGAATGATTGCCATAGCCTGTAAGAAAGCAGATGGAAGTCAAAAGCAGATCCTTAGGTTGATGACAAAGATTGCTGGTTGAGACTCTTATTTTGACACTTAGAGTCTCCTTATTCATCTTCTATTCATCTCAAATATGTGCCAACATGACTCCCCCTCAGGACTGGCCTCATCTCTGCCTCTCCAGCATCATCATCTCCTGCTGATCCCTTGCTCTACTCTGACACCTCAGTGACAATGGGTTGTGTGTGCATTCTGACAGGCGAGGGTGGGCGGGAGTTAGAATCGAGTCCTCAGCTCACCTGTCCTCCTGGATCAAGCAACTTCAAAACACATTGCCCAGTGGTGATTTAAACTCTGAGGTTAAAGCAGCAGTGGTTTTCTCTTGCTTGAGGGTCCGCAGATGACCAGGCCAGGTCTCCTTCAGGCAGTGGCACTTGGGAGTAAGCTAGGAGGTGTGTCTTCCTGTTGTGATGGCAGAAGTACAGGAGGGTAATCGAGAGTCACAGCATCCCAGCTTGAGCCTGCACACCCTCACTCCATTCCACATTCCATTGGCTGAATCAAGGCATGTGGCCCTGTCCAATATCAGTAGGGTGGGAAGATATCCATTCCCCATTTTAGAGGATCCTACAAAGTCCAGTGGCAAAAGTTGTGCACTTAAAATTGTAGTTCAGGGATGGCAGAAAGAAACAGGAGAAATGCTTCAGTCTGTCACAGCCTCTAACCTCCCTTCTAACGATCACATCCTTTAGCCTCTTTATCTATAGAGTGAGAGGACTAGGCTAGGTGATGTCTGGGGTTCTTTCTATCCTTACCTTTCTGAAAATTTGATGGGAAACCATCTGGAAGGAGGAGGAGGAGAGATGAGATATAAAAGATGACCTGTATGCTTGGCACTGGGCTTGGCACATCAAAGGACTCGGGAAATGTCTGTTGACTTAATGGCTTGGAGATCTGAGTCCAGGAGGCCAGGAATCTGGTGACTGACCTGGTAGGGAAAGAATGGGGGATGCTTTAGCTGGGCCTCAGGTGTTCACTGGCCTTCCTGCCCCTGGGGCCACAGGCCCTGGGCACTGCTGTTGGAGTTGCAACTTTACAACTTCGGAGTTGCAGTGACAACATCCGGGTGCTTGTCTCCCCCTTTTTTTTCCCCCTGCCAGTACTAACAGATTTGTTGCAGAAATGGCCTGGGCCCTTGCTCCTGAGCCCTGGGGCAGCATGGGAACAGGGCTGATGGTGTGTTCTGGTTCTCAGACTTGGGAGCCTTGCGGGCAGACTGAGTGGGGACTTTTTGCTGAGTTGTTCATGCACTGTGACAAGAAAGGCACCTTCTTTGAATTTTTTATTTTCAGAAAATAAAATTATTTTGCTAGATACAGGCATGGAAGCAATTTTCTTCTTTTGAATCCTGCAGTTCTTCTGAGTTTGAATTTATCTGTCAGCTTACTGAGCCTTTGCCTTCTAGAGACGGGATTAGAGTGTTCTTAACCTTGAGCTGATTCCCGCTGTGCCTTCTCTCCAGCCTGTACTTACCTGAGTGCCTCGCAGTCCTCTCAACATTATCCCTGGCTTCAGGCTGCTGCCCTCCTCACTCCCCTTCTCTTTCAGCCTTAGTTTGTGCTCGGTGGCAGTGTGTGTCATTATGTGTGCATGTGCAGCTGTGTGGCAGGACCAGTAGCTCATGTTTTGTCTGTTCCCTCCCAGAAGTCCCAGCCCACAGTAAATCAGTGTTCAGTAACTGATAGCCAGCCACACACTGCAGAGATGTGCCATGAATGGGAAGCTGATTAGATTTTCCAGGGCCCTGGAAAAGTTGCCTGGTGTGGTGGCAGAAGAATCTCTAGGTAAGGAACTTAAAAGTCACCAAGGCCAGGCACAGTGGCTCACACCTGTAATCCCAGCACTTTGGGAGGCCAAGGTGAGTGGATCACTTAAGGCCAGGAGTTTGAGACCAGCCTGGCCAACATGGCAAAATCCCATCTCTACCAAAGATACAAAATAAGCCGGGAGTGGTGGCGCACCCCGGTAATCCCAGCTACTTGGAAGGCTGTGGCATGAGAATTGCTTGAACCAAGGAGGCAGAGGTTGCAGTGAGCTGAGATGGCACCACTGCACTCTATCCTGGGCAACAAAGTGAGACTCTGTCTCAAAAAAAAAAGAAAAAAAAAAAAAGTCACTGAGCCAGAGCCAGGATAGCTTGAGGCCAGGAGTTCAAGACCAGCCTGGACAACATAGAACCCATCTCTCAAAAACAAACAAACAAACAACAAGGGAACAACAACAACAACAAAAAGTGCCATCAAGCCAACCATCTCTCTGTTCATTGACTTCTTCCCATAGCATCTCAACCCCCTTATCACCTCTCAGGTAACAGAGAGCAAACCTCTAAGATAAGCTGATTGTTCCTTAAACAACTCTGAATGTTAGAAAATCCTTCTGTTGAGCTGAGATAGGTTTCCGTGCAACCTCTGTCCTCATTGGGATATTTCTCTGTCCCACACAGCTGGGGTTATCCCTTCCACATGGATGTACTTTTCATCTTCAGAGAGGCTGTCTCAGTGTTACTGTGTATTATCTGTTGCCGCATAACAAATCACCTTGAAATTTAGCACTGTAAGACAACAATAAGCATTATCTCATTGTTTCCATGGATCATGAATTCACCTATGGGTGATTAATTGGGGTGATCCTGAGTGGGCTCAGGATCTGTCATGAGGGCTGCGGTCATTTGAAGGCTTGACTGGCTGGAGACTCCACTTCCATTGTGGCTCACTCACACGCCTGGCAAAATGGTGCAGGCAATTGGCAGGAGGCCTCAGTTCCTCACCCTGTGGATTTCTCCAAAGGGCCGCTCGAGTGTCCTCACAACATGACAGCTGGCTTTTCTAAGGGAGAGCGAGCCAAGACAGAGTTAGGCAGGAACTCCAGTGTGCCTACCCTGAAATGCACACTCAATATCCTCTTAGTTACACAGGTGATCTCTGGTCAGTGTGGGAGGAAAACACTACACATCCATGACCTTCACTTTCCTTATCTGTCAACAGCCCTGCTTGGCTATTTGAAACAAAAAGGGAAGTACTTGGCAAACTGTTTCATAAGTGTAAGGGATATTTTTTAATAAAAGGGTTTTGCTAGTAATGAATGCTTAACTAATGAGACCCTCCTGTTTAACTCCCATATTCCTGTTTAACAGGAAGGCAGGACTGGCTTTGCCAGAGGATGAGGAAGACATAGTTGAGGCCTCCTTGGGGAGCAGCCAGGTTGTGGAACCTTGTTGTGGGAGACCCTTCTCTGCTGATGGAGTCCTTCCCTTGCTCAGTCCAAATGGTAGATGGGAGGCCTGGCACGGTGGCTCACGCCTGTAATCCCAACACTGTGGGAGGCCGAGGCAGGCAGATCACTTGAGGTCAGGAGTTCGAGACTAGCCTGGTCAACATGGTGAAACCCCGTCTCTACTAAAAATACAAAAAAATTAGCCAGACATGGTGGCGGGTGCCTGTAATCCCAGCTACTTGGGAGGCTGAGGCAGGAGAATTGCTTGAACCCAGGAGGAAGAGATTGCAGGGAGCTGATATGCACCACTGCACTCCAGCCTGGGTGACAGAGGGAGACTCCATCTAAAAAAACCAAACCAAACCAAAACAAAACAAAAAAACAACAAACAAACAAACCCAAAAGACAAATGGTGCATGGGAGAAAGAAGGTCACATGTCATTGGTTACTGGGTGCTATGGGGGCCCAGAAGACTAGCTGCCCCATGGAGGCCGGGATCTCATCTGTCTCATTCACCACTCTGAACCCAGTGCCTGGCCTGTGGCAGGCCCTCAGTGAATGCTGCGCTGACTGAATGAAGGACGAGTGTGCAGAGCAGGGGTGAAGGTGGTCTCCCACGCAGACTCTGTTTGGGGAGTCTGCAACTGCCTATGGTGTGGGGTCTTTGGTTCTGCAGGCTGCTGTTGTGTTTCGACAGGAGTTTACCTGCCATTCCTGCTTCAAGTGAAGCTTGATGGGAGTCGCTTTTACATAAGACCATTTCATCTATTGTTTGTGTCAGTGTCTATAATACTGGAGGCCATGAAGGGAAGAAGCAAAATTCCTGAATAAATTGTATGTCTCACCATCAGATCTGTAAACTCATATTGTAATCCGAACATTTAAATTTATAATTGGCCTTGGAGTGTTAAATTTGGAGTTAAATGTTTCCTTAATTATCTCAAATTCATGGCATTTCAATCTTTCACTTGGCTTAGTAACTGGTTTTCGTTTTTAGAAACTTTGCTTAGTGTAGTATTTTGGTAGGTTTTTGTGCTGCGGGACTTTTAAGCTTGTGAAAGGAAGAATCTGGGTTGCAGGAATATCCTATAGATTGTGGCTGCAGCTACCGAGATTGTGTGATGATTTAAAAAACAAATCTGCTCAAGTATCCTGAATTCTGTGGAGGAGGATCTGGATGTATAGGCCCACAGCTATGCTTGAAATAGATCCAGCCCTGTGCCCTAGAGACCCTGCCAGCTCCCAGCTTCTTGTCTTGAGACACTTAGTGTGCAGCCTCATTCCTCTGCCTGGCTCCCTGGGACTCAAGAGATCCCCTTTGTCACCAAAGTCATTCAGTGCTGCTGTTTGTCATGGCTATACACAGGGAAGATTTAAACAATACTTACAGATTTTATTTTTTATTTTGGAAATTTTCAAAATATACAAAAATGGAGATGTTGGCGTGATGAAATCCTTGTCCCCATCACCCAGTGTCAACAAGTCTCACCTTAGGGTCAATCAAGGGTCCACACTCAGTCAAATCCCACCCAACCTTAACTTTCATTTATAAATATTTTAGTACAGTGTGTATCTCTTTAGAGTTTTTTTAAAGTAATCAGAACAGTACCAACATACCTAAAAATTTAACAATAATTACTTAATGTTATCAAATATCTAGTCAATACTCAAATTTCCCCACTGATTTATAATTTTGTTTATAGTTTCTGGAAGTCAAGATCCTGATCTTTCTTTCTTTTCTCTTTTTTCTTTCTTTCTCTCTTTCTCTTTCTCCTTCCTTCCCTCTCTTTTTCTCTTTCTTTCTTTTCTTTCCTCTTTTTTCTTTCTTTCTCTTTTTTCTTTCTTTCTCTTTCTCCTTCCTTCTCTTTCTCTCTCTTTCTTTTTCTTTCTTTCTTTCTCTCTCTCTGTCTTTTTTTTTTTTTTTTTGACAGAGTCTCACTCTGTCACCCAGGCTGGAGTGCAGTGGCGTGATCACAGTTCACTGCGGCTTTTACCTTCTGAGCTCAAGTGATCCTCCCACCTAGCTCTCCGAAGAGCTGGGACTACAGGCGTGTGCCACCACATCAGGATAATTCTTTTTGAATTTTAGTAAAGACAGGATCTCACTATATTGCCTAGGTTAGTCTTGAACTCCTGGGCTCAAGTGATCCTCCTGCCTCGACCTTCCAAAGTGTTGCTGGGATTACAGGCATGAGCCACCACACCTGCCTCAAATAACTTTCATACATTACAATTGGTTGATATTTCTTCTAATATATATTTATTTATTTTTTGCTGGAGTGCAGTGGCACAATCTCAACTCACTGCAACCTCTGTCTCCTGGGTTCAAGCGATTCTCCTGCCTCAGCCTCCTGAGTAGCTGGGACTACAGGTGCGAACCACAAAGCCCAGCTAATTTTTGTATTTTTAGTAGAGACGGGGTTTCACCATATTGGTCAGGCTGGTCTTGAACTCCTGACTTCATGATCCATCCGCCTCAGCCTCCCAAATTGCTGGGATTACAGGCGTGAGCCACCACACCCAGCCTTATTTATTTATGTATTTATTTTTCCTGAGACAGAGTCTTGCTCCGTTGCCTAGGCTGGAGTGCAGTGGCGTGATCTCGGCTCGCTGCAACCTCTGCCTCCCAAGTTCGAGCGATTCTCCTGCCTCAGCCTCCAAAGCAGCTAGGATTACTGGCGTGTGCCACCACGCCCAGATAATTTTTGTATTTTTAGTAGAGACGGGGTTTCACCATGTTGGCCAGGCTGGTCTCGAACTCCTGACCTTAAGTGATCCACCCTCCTCAGCCTCCCAAAGTGCTGGGATTACAGGCATGACCCACCGCACCCGGCCAGATTTTTATTTAAAAAAACCTTACCTATTTACAGCAGTTTTAGATTCACAACAGAATTGAGCAGAAGGTACAGGATTTCCCATCTACTCTCTCCCGACACAGGCATATCGTCCCCCGTTACCAACATCCCCATCAGAGTGGTCTGTTTGTTACAGTGGATGAACCCACATCGTTATTACCCACAGTGCATGGTTTACATTAGGGTTCACTCTTGGTGCGGTACCTTCTATGGACTTGGACAAATGTCTAATGGCATGTATCCACCATTACGGTATCATACAGAGTATTTTCACTGCCCTAAAAATCAGTCTGTGCTCTGCCTATTCATCACTCCCCATCCCCTAACCCCAAGCAACCACTGATCTTTTTACCGTCTCCATTAGTTTTGCCTTTTCCAGAAAGTCAGGTAGTTGGAATCACACAGTATATACAGTATTTAGCCTTTTTGGATTGGCTTTTTTCCCTTAGTAATATGCATTTAAATTTCCACCATGTCTGGTTTTTGTTTGTTTGTTTGTTTTGAGACGGAGCCTCACTCTGTCGCTCAGGCTGGAGTGCAGTGGCTTGATCTCAGCTCACTGCAACCTCCATCTTCCAGGCTTAATTGATTCTCCTGCCTCAGCCTCCTGGGTAGCTGGGATTACAGGTGCTTGCCACCACACCCGGCTAGTTTATTTTATATTTTTAGTAGAGATGGGGTTTCACCATGTTGACCAGGCTGGTCTCCAACTCCTGACCTTAGGTGATCCACCCACCTTGGCCTCCCAAAGTGCTGGGATTACAGGCGTGAGCCACCATGCCCAGCTTCCACCATGTCTTTTCATGGTTTGTTAGCTCATTTCTTTTTAGCACTGAATAATATTTCATTGTCTAGATGGACTATAGTTTATCTGTTCAGTCACTGAAGGACATTTTGGTTGCATGCGTATTTTGGCAGTTATGAATAAAGCTGCTATAAACACCCGTTTGCAGGGTTTTGTGTGGACCTAACACATCTTGCTATGAGCGGGGCAGGGACGAGACAGTCCAGGTCCGTGTCTCATGGAACTTGTGCTTTAGCTTGTGAACTGTGCATAACAGACAATGATAAAGTAAACCAAAATATTATTTCTGGACAGATATCCCAGTGTGCTCCATGGAAAGAGCCCTGTGCTGGTGGCAAAGAAACCAATTTATAAGCCGGGCGCAGTGGCTCACGCCTGTAATCCCAGCACTTTGGGAGGCCGAGGCGGGTGGATCACGAGGTCAGGAGATCGAGACCATCCTGGCTAACATGGTGAAACTCCCTCTCTACTAAAAATACAAAAAAAAATTAGCCGGGCGTGGTGGCAGGCGCCTGTAGTCCCAGCTACTCGGGAGGCTGAGGCAGGAGAATGGCGTGAACCCAGGAGGCGGATCTTGCAGTGAGCTGAGATCGTGCCACTGCACTCCAGCCTGGGTGACAGAGCAAGACTCTGTCTCAAAAACAAAAAAACAAAAAAACAAAAAAAAAACAAAAACAAATTATAGGCTGGGTGCAGTGGCTCAGGCCTGTAATCCCAGCACTTTGGGAGGCCAAGGCAGTCAGATCTCTTGAGGCCAGGAGTTCAACACCAGCAGCCTAGCCAACATGGTGAAACCCTGTCTCTACTAAAAATACAAGAATTAGCCAGGCATGGTGGCATGCACCTGTAATCCCAGCTACTACTCGGGAGGCTGAAGCATGAGAATCACTTGGACCCGGGAGGCAGAGGTTGTAGTGAGCTGAGATCGCACCACTGCACTTCGGCCTGGGAGACAGAGTGAGACTCTTCAGCCCCCTCCACCAAAAAACAAAAACAAAAACAAAAACAAAAAAAAAAACACACAAAAAAAACAAATTCTAGTTCTGCCTTTGGTATTCACCAGTTCTATGGACCAGGGCAAGTGATTTGTCCTTTCCTGATCTCCTCCCCTTTCCTGGCTGTAAAATGGGGCTAATTTCCTCCAACAAGTACCTGACATATGGAATATACTTGATAATACTTGATAAATATTTGCTAAATGAATCAATGTCTGCTTTTCTAATTTATGGCCCTTGTGAGGGTCAAAAGAGTCTTTTTTTTTTTTTTCCTGAGACAGAGTCTCACTCTGTCACCCAGGCTGAGTGCAGTGGTGCAATTTTAGCTCACTGCCTCCCAGGTTCAAGTGATTCTCATGCCTCAGCCTCCCAAGTAGCTGGGATTACAGGTGTGCACCACCACGCCTGGCTGATTTTTGTATTTTTAGTAGAGATGGGGTTTCGCCGTGTTGCCTAGGCTGATCTCAAACTCCTGGCCTCAAGTGATATGCCCACCTCAGCCTCCCAAAGTGCTGGGATTACAGGCATGAGCCCCCCGGCCAAAACAGTCATGTTCATGATAGGCTCCCATAGAAGGTGAAGTGCTACATAGATGAAAGTTGTATTGATAGGAATGCTGTGCTTCATAAATTACTCTCATCCTATGTCTGTGTAAAAATGTAGAGATGTCATTTACAATAGCAAAACTTGGAACCAACCCAAATCCCCATCAATGATAGACTGGATAAAGAAAATGTGGCACATATACACCGTGGAATACTATGCAGCCATAGAAAAGAATGAGTTCATGTCCTTTGCAGGGACCTGGATGAAGCTGGAAGCTATCATTCTCAGCATTCTAACACAGGGACAGAAAACTAAACACATATTCTCACTCATAAGTGGGAGCTGAACAGTGAGAACACATGGACACGGGGAGGGGAACATCACACACTGGGGTCTGTCAGAGGGTGGGGACAAGGAGAGGGAGAGCATTAGGACAAATACCTAATGCATGTGGGGCTTAAGACTTAGATGACGGGTTGATAGGTGCAGCAGACCACCATGGCACATGGATACCTGAGTAACAAACCTGCACGTTCTGCACATGTATCCCAGAACTTAAAGTAAATAATAAATAATAAATAAATAAATGTAGTAATGTGACATTCAGTGATGGGAGAATGGCTTCCAGGCCTCCTTTTTAATTGTTATTTTTAAAATTACATTAGAAGTGTCCTTGTAGTCGCATTTATTTAACATTTCTCAAGGGAAACTTTAAATGGCAAAGAATCAGGCCAGTAGAAAAATGAAACAATGTCAGGTCTCAGAGTGACAGCCTCATCTCCGAAAGTGAGCACTGCGTAAGTAGAGGCTTCTATTTGATGGGCAGCGGCTGACATTTGTGATGTTGAGCATTGTCTGAGTGGCACCATCTGACTAACTTTAATGGCTTTTGAGAGTATAAGTGAACCTGGGTGACAAAAGTCTGTGTAGCCCAATTGGTAAGACATGGAAGGGGCTGGGAGTAGGTAGGTGGGCCTGGCTTTGGTGGCTGTGTCCTGTGGAGCCCCAGCCTATGCATGTGGAACAGGGAGGTACCATCTCTACTTTTCCATCACATCTTAAATGGCTGTCCATGTGAGACATTGCTAAGGTAAGTCCTCAGGATGTGGTAGTTAGGATGAACAAGCTGAGCTTCCTTCCTTCCGCCTAGGAGGCTCCTAACGGTGTCCCCTTGACCTGAGAGGTAGAAGAACTGAAAACTGCTTTTCCTCCTGTCTGTGTCTCTCAAACATTGCCCTTCCTGCCCTCTGACATGCCTTCTGTGGCCAGTGCCCAAGTACACCAGCAGGTTTTTAGTCAAAAACCACAGAAAACCAAACCTGGATATGTTAAGCAGAAAAGCTCATATATATGCAGAAGGGATCTTGGGTAGCTCACAGAATCTCTGGAAAGGCAGGAAAATATAGCTCTCAGAGAAGAGGTGAGAACAAGGGAGGCTGGACAGCGAGCTCTGTGGACAAAGTCATGCCACAGAACCACCCCAGAGAGGACACTGATACCTGGACACTGCATGTTGATGCCACCTGGGCACTGCTGCCTCTGCTGCCCCTAAGAACCAGTCATTGTTGCTGCTATCATTGCCAGGAAATAATTCTCATTCCTGTTTTTTTAAATATAAACTTTAACCTAAGTCTAATATGCGTAGAGAAAAGTAGACAAATAAGTGTTTAGCTCAGTGAATGTTCATAAAATGAACACCCTGAAAAACCACTACGCCTATGAAGAAATAAAACATGACCACCCTGGGCCGGGCGCAGTGTCTCACACCTGTAATCCCACCACTTTGGGAGGCTGAGGCGGGTGGATCACAAGGTCAAGAGATCAAGACCATCCTGGCCAACATGGTGAAACCCTGTCTCTACTAAAAATACAAAAATTAGCTGGGTGTGGTGGTGCGTGTCTGTAGTCCTAGCTACTCGGGAGGCTGAGGCAGGAAAATTGCTTGAACCCGGGAGGTGAGGTTGCCATGAGCCGAGATCACACCACTGCACTTCAACCTGGTGACAGAGAGAGACTGTCTCAAAGAAAAATAAAGGGCCGGGCACGGTGGCTCATGCCTGTAATCCCAGCACTTTGGGAGGCTGAGGCGGGCGGATCACGAGGTCAGGAGATAGAGACCATCCTGGCTAACACAGTGAAACCCCATCTCTACTAAAAATACAAAAAATTAGCCAGATGTGGTGGTGGGTGCCTGTGGTCCCAGCACTCGGGAGGCTGAGGTAGGAGAATGGCGTGAACCTGGGAGGTGGAGCTTGCAGTGAGCCAAGATCGCGCCACTGCACTCCAGCCTGGGCAACAGAGCAAGACTCCGTCTCAAAAAAAAAAAAAAAATACAAAAATTAGCTGGGTGCAGTAGTGCACGGCTGTTTTTGCTCAACATTATACTTGTGAGATTTTTTCCAGGTTTTTTTGTTTGTTCATTTTTTGTTTTTGTAGAGACAGGGTCTAGCTGTGTTACCTAGGCTAGAGTACAGTGGTACAATCATAGCTTACTGTAGCCTCAAACTCCTGGGCTCAAAGGATCCTTCTGCCTTAGACTCCCAAGTAGCTGGGTCTACAGGCACATGTCAACATGCCTGGCTAACTTTTTCTTATTTTTATAGAGACAGGTTTTGCTTTGTTACCCAGGCTGGTCTCGAACATCTAACTTCAAGCAATCCTCCTGCCATGGTCTCCCAAAGTGTTGGGATTATAGGTGTGAGCCACTGCCTCTTCCAGGTTCTTATATGTAACTAACTCATTTGTTTTAATTGCTGTATTATATTCCCCCATTTGGATGAACCACAAAATGGATAAACCACCATTTGTCTGTCCATTCTAGTGTGTATGGACCTGCAAGTTGTTTTCAGATTTTGGCTTTTAGGAATAATGTTGTGAACATTTTGGTACCTGCCTTCTGGTAAGCATATGTACACATTACTAATGCCGAAATCCACAGGAGTAAAATTGCTTAATCATGAGACACATATGCATTCACTGATAACTGACGAGGTTGAGTGCTTTTTCATATGTTTATCAGCCATTTGGGTATCTTCCTTTGTGAAGTGCCTACTCAAGTTTTTTACCCATTTTAAATTGGTTCATTTCCTAGTATAAAGGTTCCCCAAAAAATTAAAAATAGAACTACCATATGATCCAGGAATCCTACTTTTGGACATTTATCCAAAAGAACTGAAATTAGGATCTCAAAGATACTAGCACTGCCATGTTCATTGCAGCATTATTCACAGTACCCACCTAAATGTCCATCGATGGATGGATGGATCTAAAATTATTGGCTGGGCACGGTGGCTCACGCCTGTAAACCCAGCACTTTGGGAGGCCAAGGTGGGAGGATCACCTGGGGTCAGGAGCTTCTGACCAGCCTGGCCATCGTAATGAAACCCCGTCTCTACTAAAAATACAAACATTAGCTGGGCATATTGGTGGGTGCCTATAATCCCAGTTACTTGGGAGGCTGAGGCAGGAGAATCGTTTGAACCCAGGAGGCAGAGATTGCTGTGAGCCAAGATTGTGCCATTGCACTCCAGCCTGGGTGACAGAGAGAGATTCTATCTCAAAATATATATATATATGTGTGTGTATATATGTGTGTGTATATATGTATACACAACAGGGAGATAGCCTTAAAAAGGTAGGAAATCAGCTGGTCATGGTGGCTAATGCCTGTAATCCCAGTACTTTGAGAGGCCGAGGCAGGTGGATCACAAGGTCAGGAGTTTGAGACCAGCCTGGCACACATAGTGAAACCCTGTCTCTACTAAAAATACAAAAATTAGCCAGGCTCTCGTGGACTTCAGCTCTTGTGGACTTCAACACGTTGATTATGGGTTTCTAGCCTCCAGAAGTGTGAGATAATAAATTTCTGGGTTTTTTTGTTTTTTGGGGTTTTTTTTTGAGATGGAGTCTCCCTCTGTCACCCAGGCTGGAGTGCAGTGGCACAATCTCGCTCGGCTCACTGCAACCTCTGCCTCCCAGGTTCAAGCGATTCTCGTGTCTCAGCCTTCCAAGTAGCTGGGACTACAGGCGCATGCCACCATGCCTGACTAATTTTTGTATTTTTAGTAGAGACGGGATTTCACCATGTTTCCCAGGCTAGTCTCAAACTCCTGACTTCAAGTGATTTGACGACCTCGGCCTCCCGAAGTCCTGGGATTACAGGCGCGAGCCACCGCACCCAGCCTGGAGTTTGCTTTTAAAGCCAATTTTTATAAAGTATAAAAGTATAACATACATGCAGAAAAACTGGTCAATTACGAGGATGTAGCTAGTGAATTTTCATGGAGTGAGCACCTCCCTTATTTTGAATTTATTTCCCCCCACTTATTGTTAACAAACAGTGGCTTGTCATTTACAGGCCTGTGTCCTTCCCAAGCTAGACCATTGAGGCCAGAAAGATGTGTCGTATTTATTTTTGTATCTACTCCCTCCCCAGTTTCTAGCACAGTTCCTTTATATAGTAGCCCACAGGAAGTGCTTGCTGAATTAGAATGCAGAAGGTTGGATGGGAATTTCACAGTGAATCAGGGTCACCTTGAGCTTGCATTGAATGGAAGTTCCATATAAGACTAAGTACTTTGCTCCAGAGTGGTAGCTTTTGGTCTTTCTGTGCATCTGGATTCAGATTCGCTGCCCTGTCTCTCTCTCTCTCTCTCTCTCTCTCTCTCTCTCTCTCTCTCTCTCTCTCTCTCTCTCTATATATATATATATATATATATATATATATATAATTTTTTTTTTTTTTCCCATGGACATTTTTGGGGAAGGGCTTCTGGAAAACATAGCCCAAGGCAGGGATTAAAGAGCTAATGCTGGCCGGGCGCGGTGCCTCACGCCTGTAATCCCAGCACTTTGGGTGGCCGAGGCAGGTGGATCACGAGGTCAGGAGATCGAGACCATCCTGACTAACACTGTGAAACCCTGTCTTTACTAAAGATGCAAAAAATTAGCCAGGCGTGGTGGCGGGCGCCTATAGTCCCAGCTACTCGGGAGGCTGAGGGAGGAGAATCGCTTGAACCCAGGAGGTGGAGGTTGCAGTGAGCCGAGATCGCGCCACTGCACTCCAGCCTGGGCGGCAGAGTGAGACTCCATCTCAAATAAATAAATAAATAAATGAAAAATAAAGAGCTGACACTTTGGGAGGTGCAATCCCAGGGCAGTGAAGGAGCAATGGCAAGTGGCAGAGGAGAGATCAAAGTGACCACCCAGCTCATTCCCTTGCTGGATGAGACTTCACAGCGAGCTACAGAGACACGGTGGGTCGCTCAGCAAGCATGCTTGCCTGGCACATGGACTTTTCCAGAACTTACACAAGAAGAAAATACACCTCAGAGCCATCCGTGGAGGGAAGAGTGGGGGGAGATTCATCTGACCTGTTCTTTTCATATCCTATTTTCCACGGTGGCATTTCATACAAGCCCAGAAGTGGAGGTACGGCGTGACCTGGATGAGGCATCATCGAGAGAGACAAAGAAGGAGGTGGTCGAGGGAATCTGAGAAGGCGCACAAGGTTTGTGTCCAATACAGTCCACACCTTGCGCTACTCAGGTCTGCTCGTGCCCTCCCATGATATCAGCTCTCCTACTTCAATGTGGGAATCTCCGTTTTCCTTGGAGAACAAAAACATCCTCATTCCTTCCCTGAGCAGGAAGGTACAAATCCCATCAGTGACAGAAGCCATTTCCTGGTGCTGGCCCACTGGGGTTACCAGGAAGAATAAAGCAAGAAGGTTGTGAAACAAGGTCATCTGCTGCTGCTGTGGCCGGTCCTGGTGTGCTCATTGTTACTCATCATTTCCCTCCTGCACTACCCACCCTAGACCCTCTCCACTCTCCGCCAGCACTCTGGCTGGTCTGTGATGTTTGCGCTGAGTGGTCTGCATGTGTTGTTGGCCTTGCTCATTATCAGCCGTTACCAATCATGGAAATGTTAAGAGATACCGGTGCTAGGCACAGTGGCTCATGCCTGTAATCCCAGCACTTTGGGAGGCCAAGGTGGAAAGATCACCTGAGGTCAGGGGTTCAAGACCAGCCTCACTAACATGGTGAAACCCCATCTCTACTAAAAATACAAAAATTAGCTGGGCGTGGTGACGGGTGCCTATAGTCCCAGCTACTCGGGAGGCTGAGACAGGAGAATCACTTGAACCTGGGAGGCGGAGGTTGCAGAAAGCCGAGATAGCGCCATTGCACTCCAGCCTGGGCAACAAGAGTGAAACTCTGTCTCAAAAAATAAATAAATAAATAAAAATAAGAGATATCCCAAGGAGTCCTCTGGGTTTTATTCCAGACATTCTCCTCCCATTTCCAAATGGGCCACTCACCTAATTCCTCATGGCAATTAGGATCAGTGACCCCTGGCGGTAGAGTCACTCCCCTGGCAGTAGAGTCACTCCCCTGGCAGTAGAGTCACTCCCCTCTTTGTTGGTCACTGGCATGAGGAGCCGTAGGTGGCCAAGTGGTTGTGGCAGTGTCCAGATCAGTGGAATCTTTGTTTCACATTCCTCCCTTACCCCAGGACTAGATCCTCTAACCCAGCTGATCCCAAGTGTGTGAGGATGGGAAGCACACACCTTGCAAAGGGCAACCATGCGTGATGGTGAGCAGGGCCACTCCTGGACCTGTCTGCTGTAGCTGTGGGGGACATGGCACCAGATATCAGTTGTCAGCTCAAGGCATCCTGGAGGACAGAGGCTCAAACCTGAGGGGTATTTCTCCCTCGGTGTCCCCGCTAAGCCAGTAGGCCATTCCATTGTTTTGTCAGGCTCGCTGCCCCCTAGTGCAGCTGGGTTCCTGTGATTCCAGTGAATTTATGGCCAGGAGTCACTGGCACAGCTGCTAGGCTGAAATGGGCCACTTTGTATAAGGCTGTATCGAATGGAAGTCCAGGCCAGCACACGAGGCATTCAGTAACTTTGGACCATGGTGCTGCTGGAGGCACTACAGGCAGGGAAGGCAACCTCATTACCAAAAAGCACTTCCGTTTCATGAAGGATAAATTGTGTATCCCTCCAAGGTGGAAGGGGTCTGATATAGTTAGTGGCTGTCTGGCTCTTCCCAAGGATGGGCCATATCAAGGAGGGTTCCGTGTTGGTTTCTACTGCTGGTAGATCGGGCACTCAGTGGAGCCGCGAGATGAGCCTTGGTGCTGGGGAGGCAAAAGAGGAAGGAAAGCAAGGGGAGGATGCAAAGTAACATGAGGCTTCAAGACCTCGCCACTGCTTTGCAGCAAACTGTAAGGCTCACAGAGGCCACTCATGTTCTCTGGGCTCATGGACTTCTCTGGAAGGTTTGCAAAGATACCTTGGAGAGATCTGCAGGGGGGATAAATGAAGAGCATTTCCTGGCCTGGTTTCCATCCACTTCCCATTTCCCACTGCTCATTGTTTAACCTGTGAGTCACTAACCCTTCCATACTGTGGGTTGCAAAAATCCAGCTTGTCGGTGACCACTCAGGAAACCAGATTGCATACTCTGAGATGCAGTACTACTCCCAAGCCCAAAAATGCAGGGGCGACTTGGCTTAAATGGAGGAGAGAGAGAGGGGACGGAGGAGGTGCACCATTCTTAGTTGATGTACAAGGTTTGGGTCCAATACAACTATGTAAGTCGCTAACCATAGATGGTCTCCATGGCCTAAAAAGCAATGCATTAACTACTACAGGCTTCCAAGTTCTGATTGCTGGAATCCTTGACAGAGGTGAGAGTGTGACTGGGGTCATTGCGAGTATTATTTTGTTGAGAATCGGTGTAGTTAACTTAGTGGGATGTTGGTTGTGGTAAATTCTCTTGCAGTTAAATTGTACTGCAGATGTTTAGTATTTTGTTTATATTTGTTCTAAATCAGATATCAAAGTAATGCCTCAAAACATGTCTCCTTAAAAGTGGCAGAAAATACATTATCATTTTTTTTTTGAGACGGAGTTTAGCTCTGTCACCCAGGCTAGAGTGCAGTGGTGTGATCTCCATTCACTGCAACCATCACCTCTTGGGTTCAAACGACTCTCCTGCCTCAGCCTCCTGAGTAGCTGGGATTACAGACATGCACCACCAGGCCCATTTAATTTTTGTATTTTTAGTAGAGACGGGGTTTCACCATGTTGGCCAGGCTGGTCTCGAACTCCTGGCCTCAAGTGATCTGCCTGCCTCAGTGCTGGGATTATAGGCATGAGCCATCATGCCTGGCCACATTATCATGTATTTTGGATATGAGCCCTGATGAAACTGGGAGGCCTTAGATCATGGCTGGTAGTGAGGCCACTGAAGCTGCTTAGGGCTCAGTGAGACCAGATGGTTCTGGAATATTGCACACCTCCATAGCCTCTTGCGGGAGAGGAGTTACCACTGCAGCTTGCAGGGCCCAGGTCTATAGTGTACTGTGAGCAGGGCTTTAACTTTGCCACTGTCTGGACTATTGGACTTCCCTGGAAGCTTAACCTTCATAGAGAGGGTTACCTCAGCCAGGACTCACAGTGGGAGAAACAAAATCATTTATTTACAACATGAGCAGGTGCACTACTCCTAAACAACAATCTGGATTTTAGGATACATCCCTAAATTTTAGACCCTTTCAGGACTGAGTTTGAAGCCATTGAAAAATTTTTAAAACTGAATAAAAAAGGTAAAAATAATACCTTGGCTACAGGTTAAAAATGGATTGAACATAAAATATCTAAATGAAAGAGAAGAGCAGAGCTAAATTCTAAGACTAGCAAATGTATCAGATCTTGATAATTTTAAGGGTTGTTAGCCCCCACATTTATATATTTCACTGTATAATTCCTTCCAAATAATGTAGAAAGATAAAACTGAAAAGTTAAAGTAAGAGGCTGGGTGTGGTTGGTGGCTCATGCCTATAATCCTAGCACTTTGGAAAGCCAAGGTGGGAGGATAACTTGAGCTCAGGAGTTCAAGACCAGCCTAGGCAACATAGTGAGACCTTGTCTCTACCAAAAACAAAAAAAAATTAGCTGGCATGGTGGCACATGCCTATGGTCCCAGTTACTTGGGAGGCTGAGACAGGAGGATTGTTTGAGCGCAGGAGTTCAAGGCTGCAGTGAGCTATGATTGCACCATTGCACTCCAGCCTGGGCAACAGAGTGAGACTCTATTTCAAAAATAAAATAAAACCCTTAATAAAAAGTAACACTAACTAGAATGAGTAAAGGATCAATTTAGATTTGGATGCTGGGTGACTAGAAAAACTAATCTGCTATATTTTCATTTTCTGAAGTGCTCATGTTACTTATTCATATCTACCTGCTCTTGTTTCATTTTTATCAACTTCTATTTCATTAAATTGTTTCTTCTTCTTTTTTCTTCTCTTCTCTCTCTTTTTTTTTTTTTTTTTTTTTTGAGACAGGGTCTTAACTCTGTCACCCAGGCTGGAATGCCTGGCTAATTTTTGTGGTTTCTGTAAAGACAGGGTTTCACCATGTTGCCGAGACTGGTCGTGATCTCCTGGCCTCAAGTGATCTCCCACTTCACCCTCCCAAAGTGCTGGAATTACAGGCGTGAGCCACTGCTCCCCAGCCTATCCCCCTTTTACTGATGTTATTCTTTATCTTTGAGAATCCTAAACCTATTTATATTAAATACTTTTCATATTATTATGGCTGAAGCGATTCTTCTTCTTCTTCTTCTTCTTTTTTTCTTTTAGAGACAGAGTCTCATCTCACTCTGTTGACCAGGCTGGAGTGCAGTGGCATGATCTCGTCTCACTGCAACCTCCTTCTCCCAAGTTTGAGCAGTTCTTGTGCCTCAGCCTCCCGAGTAGCTGGGAATACAGGTGTGCACCACCATGCCCAGCTAATTTTTGGTATTTTTAAAAAATTATTATTTATTTATTTATTTTGAGTCAGAGTCTCTCTCTGTTGCCCAGACTGGAGTGTGGTGGCACGATCTCAGCTCACTGCAACCTCTGCCTCCCAGGTTCAAGTGATTTTCATGCCTCAGCCTCCCGAGTAGCTGGAATTACAGCTACACACCACCATGCCCAGCTAATTTTTGTATTTTTAGTGGAGATGGGGTTTCACCATGTTGTCCAGGCTGGTCTTGAACTCCTGACCTCAAGAGATCCACCCACTTCGGCCTCCCAAAGTGCTGGGATTACAGGTGTGAGCCACCATCCCTGGCCTGAAGTGATTCATCTTCTAAGCATTGAATTCATTGGCTTCTTTATTAGCATTGGTTTTCTTCACAGGTTTTGAATTTTGGTTTTCAGGCTCATCTCGACTGGGAGGTCTTCCCTCCCTCGCTCCCTCAGCCTCACCCACTCTTCTTTGTCTAGTGATTTTTAAAATGCCTTTACTTAGTCCCCTGGAGAGTCCCGTCTAGAACCAGATCCTATGATGGGGGCTTGGGGCTTCTGCCCTTGAGTGACATTGGGAATATCTCCCATCCAATCCCTGACCCTGGGCAGATGAGTTCAGGTTCTGGCTACAAGACTTTGCTATCAGCTGTGACCCTGAGAAGGTGATAGCAGCATTAAATTGTTAAAATTTTGAAATAACTTAGATTTACAGAAAAGTTAGAAAAATAGTGCAGACAATTCCTATATACTCTTTGCTTAGCTCCCCTTAGTGTTAACATCTTACCTCACCAAAGTACAATTCTCAAAACTAGAAAACTAACATCATTATAATACTATTAACTAAACTCCAAACATTATTCAAATTCCATTAGTCTCTTTTTTTCTATTTTATAATTCAATCCAAGATTCTGTATTGCATTTAGTGATTTTTCTGTGTCCATAATTTCATCTACTTTTGTTTAGGAATATCTGTCCTCTTTCCCCCATTTATTTAGTTAATGGGTTATAATCTGGTATGATCACTGCTGGGTAACTTCTAGTCCAGCCCTGATTTCATGCAGTGGCCTGGCTGCCATCTCCCACCCTGTGCAAGTCACTTCGATTCTCCATTTTTCCACAGGAACTTCTGGAACTCTTTTTTTTTGAGACGGAGTCTTGCTCTGTTGCCCAGGCTGGAGTGCAATGGTGCAATCTTGGCTCGCTGCACCCTCTGCCTCCTGGATTCAAGTGATTCTCCTGCCTCAGCCTCCTAAGTGGCTGGGATTACAGGCATGCATCACCACACCTGGCTAATTTTTCTATTATTAGTAGAGATGGGATTTCACCATGTTGGCCAGGCTGGTCTCGAACTCCTGACTTCAGGTGATCCTGCAGCCTCGGCGTCCCAAAGTGCTGGGATTACAGGCGTGAGCCACTGCGCCCGGCCTTTTTTTTTTTTTTTTTTTTTTTTTAAAGACAGGGTCTCACTCTGTCACTCAGGCTGGAATGCAGTGGCATGATTATGGCTCACTGCAGCCTCTACTTCCTGGGCCCAGGCAATCCTCTCACCTCAGCTCCTGAGTAGCTGGGACTACAGGCGCACACCACCTCACTTGGCTAATTAAAAAAAATTTTTTTTTGTAGAAATGGGGGTCTTCCTATGTTGCCCATGCTGGTCTTGAACTCCTGGCCTCAAGTGATCCTCCCACCTTGGCCTCCTAAATTGCTGAGATTACAGATGTGAGCCACCACGCCCAACCTAACTTCAAGAACTCTTGACCATCTCTGTTTCTTTCCTGATTTTAGGCCCACAATGTTCACTGTCTTAGTTTTAGGATGAGACTCTAAATCTTTTTTTTTTTGAGATGGAGTCTCGCTCTGTTGCCCAGGCTGGAGTGCAGTGGCACGATCTCGGCTCACCACAACCTCTGCCTCCAGGATTCAAGCGATTGTCCTGCCTCAGCCTCCTGAGTAGCTGGGACTACAGGCATGCAACCACCATGCCCTGCTAATTTTTGTATTTTTAGTAGAGACGGGGTTTCACTATGTTGGCCAGGCTGGTCTCAAACTCCTGACCTCGTGATCCACCCGGCTCGGCCTCCCAAAGTGCTGGGATTACAGGCGTGAGCCACCGTGCACGGCTGAGACTCTAAATCCTTAACGTAGCCTACAAGGTACTGAATTTAGTCCCTGCCTGATTTTCTTTTCCTTTTTTTTTTTTTCAACTCCAGAAATATGCTTACCCACCTGCCTGATTTTTTTGCTTCATTTTTCTCTCATTTGCTCTCTTGTTGTTGGCACTCTGGCCAAAGGACCTTTCTTTCTATTTCTTGGAAGCTGAGAACTGCCCCTCACCTGGTGGTCTTTGCCCCTGCTGCTCTCTCTGTCCGGAACACTGCCCATCCCCCTCTTATTTCTGAGCTAAGCCATAATGTCATTTTTGGTGAGTCACTACACTTACACCTGAACAATTTCTAGCCTAAAATGTCCTTAAATCTAAAAGTGTCAGGCTCCCAACAGGCATGCCCAGCTTCACCAGTTTTCTAAATTAGAGTGACTGTCCTTCGAACAAAAGATACCAGCAGCTAAGAGTTGGGTTTTCCTTCAGCTACACGTCATCTTCTCTAAGGAATGTGCCCAAAGCACAAGGGAATTGGAAAAGACAATCGCTGTTCAAAAAAAGACAAATGTCTTTTTTTTTTTTTCTTTGAGACGGAGTTTCGCTCTTGTTGCCCAGGCTGGAGTGCAATGGTGCAATCTTGTCTCATTGCAACCTCCGCCTCCCAGGTTCAAGTGATTCTCCTGCCTCAGCCATCCGAGTAACTGGGACTACAGGTACCCGCCACCGTGCCCGGCTAATTTTTGTATTTTTCAGTAGAGACGGGGTTTCACCATGTTAGCCAGGCTGGTCACAATCTCCTCACCTCAAGTGATCCACCTGCCTCCTCCTCCCAAAGTGCTGGGATTACAGGCGTGAGCCACCGTGCCCAGCTGACAAATGTCTGATTGAGTGTCGAGTCATTTGACTTTAGAACTGATAGAAGAATCAAAAAAATGACAGATGATGAACAGCCAGGGAAAATAAATGAGCATTAAAAGGTAGCAGAAAATTACCAAATGAGCTCCTGTCACTGGCAGTATTAAATGCTGGCCAATCACTCTTCCTTTTCTAACACCCTTCATGGGAAAAGATTTATTATGTCGTAGGGGTTCTGAATTTCCTTCAAGTGTCTGAGGAGTGAGTTAGATCCAGTCATGATAGTTGGATCTCCGTTTTCCGACATTGATTGTAATTGGAAATGGCATACACTTTAGTCACCTACCCTCCCCTTATTTTGATACCATTAGCTCCATCATCTTATAAGTCCGTTGTTATGAGATTGCACTATGTTTGCCCAGCCAATGCCTTCAACTAATCCATGTAGAGCCAGAGAATGGGACATCCTTGCTCTGTAGATCTCATGATAGAACAAAAGGGCAGCATCAGGGAGACATTGGCCCCAGGTGCCTCCCAGCAGGAGATGCCTCTACGTCTGCCCCCTCAGGCTCTGGGCCTCCAATTTCAGTTTTAATGGCAGGATCCCAACCTGCTCCAACTCTGTAGTTCTTTTTTTTGTTTGTTTTGAGACAGAGTCTCGCTCTGTCACCCAGGCTGGAGTGTAGTGGCACCATTTTGGCTCACTGCAACCTCCGCCTCCCGGGTTCAAGTGATTCTCCTGCCCCAGCCTCCCAAGTAGCTGGGACTACAGGTGCACGCTACCATGCCCGGCTAATTTTTGTATTTTTGTAAACGCCCAAGGGGTTCACCTTGCCTGCTGCCTAGACGGAGGCGATTCATGAAAACAGGGGAATTGCAATAGAGAAAGAGTAATTCACACAGAGTCTGCTGTGCGGGAGATGGGAGTTTTATTATTATTCAAATCAGTCTCCCTGAGCATTCAGGGAGCAGAGTTTTTGTTTTGTTTTGTTTTGTTTGTTTGTTTGTGTTTGAGACAGAGTCTCGCTCTGTAGCCCAGGCTGGAGTGCAGTGGCGCGATCTTGGCTCACGGCAACCTCTGCCTCCCCGGTCCTGGTTTAAGCAATTCTCCTGCCTCAGCCTCCCGAGTAGCTGGGATTACAGGCAAGAGCCACCACGCCCAGCTAATTTTTGTATTTTTAGTAGAGACGGGATTTCACCATGTTGGCCAGCTGGTCTTGAACTCCTGACCTCGGGTGATCTGCCCATCTCGGCCTCCCAAAGTGCTGGGATTAAAGGTGTGAGCCACCGCGCCTGGCCAAGGGGAGCAGAGTTTTTAAGGATAACTTGGAGGGTGGTGGGGGAACCAGTAAGCCAGGAGTGCTGATTGGTCAGGGATGAGATCACAGGATGTTGAAGCTGTCTTCTTGTGCTGAGTCAGTTCCTAGGTGGGGGCCACAAGATCAGACGAGCCAGTTTATCGATGTGGGTGGTGCCAGCTGATCCATCAAGTGCAGGGTTTGCAAAATATCTCAAGCACTGCTCTTAGGAGCAGTTTAGGGAGGGTCAGAATCTTATAGCCTCCAAATGCATGACTCCTAAACCATAATTTCTAATCCTGTGGCTAATGTTACTCTAGTCCCTAGGCAAGAAGGAGGTCTGCTTCGGGAAAGGGCTGTTCCCATCTTTGTTTAAACTATAAACTACAAATTAAGTTTCTTTCAAAGTTAATTCAGCCTATGCCCAGGAATGAACAAAGACAGCTTGGAGGTTAGAAGCAAGATGGAGTCAGTTAAGTTAGATCTCTTTCACTCTCAGTCATAATTTTGCAAAGGCAGTTTCATTTTTAGTAGAGACAGGGTTTCACCGTGTTGGCTCATGACCTCAAGTGATCTGCCCTCCTCGGTCTCCCAAAGTGCTGAGATTACAGGTGTGAGCCACCGCGCCTGGCCCCAACTCCATGGTTCTAAGACTTAAAGGAAAGAGTTTAGCATAGAGTCCGAAGGCTGATCTGTCTTGAGAGACCTGGGCAGTCATTCTGCCATTTCCTGGTGTCTGCAAAGCTTTAGACCACACCAGACACTCCCTGCACACGTGGCACCAATGCAGGCTCCCGTCCCTCTGCCATTCCCCACAGAGAGCAGTCGTGGCCTTAGAGTCCCCCTCAACCAAGCCACGACCAGGCAGTTCCAATAGGCATCATCTCCCAACTTTGACTCCAGGGCCTCTCCCAGCTCTGAGGGTCTGAGATTCTGAGGATTTGCCTGGAGGGTTTCTTTAGTCTGGAGCCATTGAGATTAGGAGCCTCACCCCATTCCTTCTCTTACATCCTACAGAAATCAGGGTGAAATGGCCCACACGTGCCGTGGAACCATCAACCTGTCCACCGCGCACATTGACACGGAGGACTCTTGTGGTATCTTGCTGACCAGTGGGGCCAGGAGCTACCACCTCAAGGCCAGCTCAGAGGTGGACCGGCAGCAGTGGATCACCGCCCTGGAGCTGGCCAAGGCCAAGGCTGTCCGCGTGATGAACACTCATTCAGGTAGTGAGCACTTGGGACAGCGGGTGTGTATATGGTGGTGTCATGAGTCTGGAGGAAGTGGGAATTGCAAGCCACTGGTGGGCAGTGGTGGCCAGGAGACCCAGGCCAGCGTGGATCAATCTGGAAGGTCAAGGTGCGTGCATGTTCTGTGCATCGTCAGCAGTGAGAGACTCAGCCATTCTGTCTGGCGAGCAGTTCTTGGCATGGAAATGTTTTTGGTGGGCAGGAGCTGTGTGTGCCTTTCTTTGGGCTAGTCAGGACTTCAGCAGACCCTTCAGATGCTGCAGTGGGTTAGGTCCAGAAGCAGCAGTCAGTCTGTGCCTCAAGCCAGCCGTTTCCCCAGGTTCCCCCATCGTGGAGAGTGAAACCATTTAGCCAGAGCTGCTGTCTTTGCCTATTAGGGAAGCCCGCTCAGATGTCCTGAGCAAGACATTTTGTTTCTTACTTTATAAATTTATTTTATTTTTTGAGATAGAGTCTCACTCTGTCGCCCAGGCTGGAGTACAGTGGCATGATCTCGGCTCACTGCAACCTCTGCCTTCCGTGTTCAAGCAATTATCCTGCCTTAGCCTCCCAAGTAGCTGGGATTATAGGCGCACACCACCATGCCCAGCTAATTTTTGTATTTTTAATACAGACAGGGTTTCATCACGTTGGCCAGGCTGGTCTCAAACTCCTGACCTCACGTGATCCGCCCACTTCAGCCTCCCAAAGTACTGGGATTACAGGCATGAGCCACCGCGCCCGGCCAATAAATTTATTTTTTAAATATGTAATGTTCGGCTGGGTGTGGTGGCACATGCCTGTAATCCCAGCACTTTGGGAGGCTGCGGCAGGTGGATCACGAGGTCAGGAGTTTGAGACCAGCCTAGCCAACATGGTGAAAACCTGTCTGTACTAAAGATACAAAAAATTAGCTGGGCGTGGTGGTGCGTGCCTGTAATCCCAGCTACTCAGGAGGCTGAGGCAGGAGAATCACTTGAACCCAGGAGGCGGAGGTTGCAGTGAGCCAAGATTGCACCAGGGTGAGACTCTGTCTCAAAAAAAAAAAAAAGTAATATTTTAACATGACTCATAAACCAACAGCTTCTAAATCCTACACAGTGAGGTCTTGTCTTTGACTCCTGGTTCCCAGTCACTCACCCCATTCTCCTACCAAGAGGCAGCCAGAGATACTTGTATCTTCACATGTATATTCAAATAGGTACTTATTTCAAAATAACTGCATTCACTGCCTTCTTTATTTTCCATTTAGCAATATGTCTTGGAAATTTTCCCTGTCAATATGTAAAAAGCCTCCTCCTTGTTCTTACAACAGTGTAGTATTTCATTGTATGGGTGGACCATAGTTTATGTAACCTATAGCTTGTTGGTGAGCATTTGGGTTGTTTTCCTTATTTTGTTGTGACATACTGTGCTGCCATGAGTAACCTTGCAAGTACTTCATTTCATGCACATGTGAGTATAAATGAAACTTATGTTCCAGGAAGCCGGCTTGCTGGGTCAGTGGGCGCGTACATTTGTAATTCTTCAAGGTATTGTCAAACTGCCTTCCACAGGGGTTGTGCCATGGAATGTTAACAGGAGTGTGTGAGGACACACACCTCCCACAGCCTTGCCTGCCCAGAGCTACAGTAAATGTTTCTGATGGTTGAAAAATGTGTCTACACATGCAACAGTGATCCTTCTGAAGTCATTAGTGGAATGGTGTATTCCACAGACCTATGTGTTTGTCTGGGGAGGCAGGGCTCCAGGTGAGAAGGGGGCACAGCCCCTGCTCTCCCAGACTATCTTGGAGACTGGGTGGGGAGATGGTGAGTCCTGTGGAAGGAGCTCCAGCATTTGGCAGGATGAGAGCTAGTGATGTTGGTCCTTATGCCCCATCCCTGTCTCCCATGTTGGGGTCTGTCTCCCAGCTCTAGGGTCTCAGTGAGTATTAAAGGGCACTGAAAACCAGTCTGGCTTTCTCTTTTGTCTCACTCATTTGGAGCATGGGTCACCTGCTTGGTGACTGTTCTCCCTGAGGTGTCAGCACTCATGTAGCTCTCGTATGTCAGCAATGATGCTGAGCTTGACGGCGGTCCCCCGGGTACCACTCCATCACCCAGTGAAGGAGGCAGGTGGGACCATCTCAGACATGGGCTGTGTTGGGACCCCCAGAAGGACCTGTGGTCTCAGTTTGTATGCCTGTGGGAAGCCACTGTGGCAAAATCTGTGGCTGCTGGCACAGCTGGGCTCAGGGCACTCACACTGGCCAAGTAAGGATGCTAACTAGAGATCTAGCTTCCTCTCCCTGGTTTCGCTTTTCTAAGTATAAATAAATAAATAAATGATAAATTGCCTTATTTTTTAGGAACTTCTTGAAAATAATGCAGCAGGTGGCAGTCATGGGATTAGTCATCCGGCAACAGTTTTCCTACGACAGCCAGTGCGAGGGGTTTCTTTTGCAGTTGGCAGGGTGCGGAGGTGAGGGCGGGGAGGAAGGAAGTGCTTGTTAACTCAGCTGGGCAGTGCTGGAGACTGCTGCCCAGACTTCATCTAGGGGAGAAGGGGACCCCTGAGGGAGTAACCTTAGGCTCAGCTTCCTTCATTGTATGAGATGCAGCACAAGTGCCAAGAGGGCAGCCTTCTGGGCAAGGGCACAGGACAGAGACAAATGTCCAGGTAACCCTCAAGGTAGGATTCCTCTCCTGTTGGCTTTTTGAAGCATGAATGAACCATGTATGTGAAGGAAAAGCCTTCAGACGGCTACTCTGTGTTTATGGAAAGATTGGGACCACCTGATTATGTCTTGGAAAATAGCCCTTTTGATGGCCTTCTGTTAAAGGCAAGGTCCTCCTCTCTAAGCTCTCAGGCTGATGTGAGAGAGTTGTGGTTTGTAACTTTTTGCCTGTCTTGGAGTCAGCTTGGGGCAGCCTTGAATGAGAGAAGATGGCCTAATGTCGCTCTCCTTGGGCCTGGCTGATGGTGGCCAGCTGGGTCAAGGACATAGATAGCACTTTAGGCAGGCCACTGTGGGTTATCCCGGGGCCTGTTTTCTTCTCCTGAACTGAGAACCCTGTCTCATCCTGCTGGAAGCCTACTTCCTACTTCTGCTTATCTCTTGAAATCACCTGCTACTCCCCAGCTCTTTTGCCATGCCCTAATCCAAGTACAATCCCCTCCTATCTGGATGTCTATCAGGAGTTCGAGACCACCCTGACCAACATGGTGAAACCCCATCTCTGCTAAAAATACAAAAATTAGCTGAGTGTGGTGGCGCGTGCCTGTAGTCCCAGCTACTTGGGAGGCTGAGGCAGGAGAATCGCTTGAACCCTGGAGGCAGAGGTTGCTGTGAGCCGAGATCACGCCACTACACTTCAGCCTGGGCAACAGAGTGAGACTCTGTCTCAAAACAAACAAACAAACAAACAAACAAATAAATCAACTCTTAGGTGCTATAAACCAACTAGACTTAGCAGACATATACAAAACACTCCACTCAACAACAGCAGATTATAATTTCTTTTCAAGTACACATGGAACATTTTTCAGGATAGACCATATGTTAGGCCACAAAACAAGTCTCAATAAATTTAAAAAAGATTGAGACTATATGAAGTATCTTTTCTGACCGCAGTGGAATGAAGGTAGGAATCAATAACAGAGGTAACACTAGAAAATGCATGGAAGTTAAACAACATACTCTTAAACAATGAGTGGATCAAAGATGAAATCACAAGGGAAATTCGAAAATACATTGAGATAAATGAAAACAAGAACACAGTTTACCAAAATTTTGGAATACGCAAAAGCAGTGCCCAGAGAGAAATGTATAGTTCTATCTAATCCTCATTTGTGTGCCAGAAAAAAATACAAAAAAAAAATTATAGCGCTAAAAGTGTATGTTAAAAAAGAAGGAAAATGAATCTGAAATGAAAAACCAAACTTTATACCCGAAGGAAGTAGGTAAAGAACAAACTAAACTCAAAGCTAGCAGAGGGAAGGAAACAATAAAGATTAAAGTTGGGCTGGGCGTGGTGGCTCACGCCTGTAATCCCAGCACTTTGGGAGGCCAAGGTGGGCAGATCACCTGAGGTCAGGAGTTTGAGACCAGCCTGGCCAACATGCTTAAGCCCCATTTCTACTAAAAAAATTTAAAAATTAAATTAGCCAGATGTGGTAGCAGACGCCTGTAATCCCAGCTACTCAAGAGGCTGAGGCAGGAGAATCACTTGAACCGGGGAGGCAGAGGTTGCAGCAAGCTGAGATCATGCCACTGCGCTCCAGCCTGGGCAACAGAGTGAGACTCTGTCTCAAAAAAAAAAAAAAAAAAAAAAAATTAGAGTTAGAGTAAATGAAATAGAGAATAGAAAAACCAATAGAGAGAATGAATGAAAGCAAAAGTTGGTTCTTTGAAAAGACTGACGTAGTTGGTAAACCTTTAGCTAGACTAAGAAAAAAAGAGAAGACTCGAATTACTGAAATCAGAAATGAAAGTGGGAACATTACTAATGACCTTACAGAAATGAAAAGGGTTATAAGAACAGGATGAAAAGGATTATAATGAACAGTTTATGCCAACAAATTAGATAACCTGGATGCAAATGGACAAACTCTTAGAAACACTCAAATTACAAAAACTGAGTAAAGAAGAAATAAAATATCTTAGCAGACCTACAATGAAGAGGTCATTGAATCTGTAATCAAAGATCTTGAAACTAAGGAAAGTCCAAGACCAGATGGCTTAATTGGGTGAATTCTACCAAACATTTAAAGAACTTGCAAGGCTGGGCCTGGTGGGTCACGTCTGTAATTCCAGCACTTTGGGAGGCCTAGGAGGGAGGATCAACTGAGCCCAGGAGTTTAACACTAACCTGGGCAACATAGTGAGACCCTTTCTTTACAAAAATTTGAAAAATGAAACTAGCCAGGCATGATAGCACATGCCTGTAGTCCCAGCTACTTCAGAGCCTGAGGTGGGAGGATTGCTTGACCCCCAGAGGTTGAGGCTTCAGTGAGCCATGATTTCACCACTGCACTTCAGCCTGAGCAGTGGAGTGAGACCCTGTCTCAAAAAAAAAATTATACCAATTCTTCTTAAATTTTTTCCAAAAAATTGAAGAGGATGAAACACTTTTTTTTTTTTTTTTTTTTTGAGATGGAGTTTCGCTCTTGTTGCCTAAACTGGAGTGCAGTGGTGCAATCTCGGCTCATTGCAAGCTTCACCTCCCAGGTTCAAGCGATTCTCCTGCCTCAGCCTCCCGAGTAGCTGGGATTACAGGCACCTACCACCACACCCGGCTAATTTTTTTGTATTTTTAGTAGAAACGGAGTTTCACCATGTTAGCCAGGCTGGTCTTGAACTCCTGACCTCAGATGATCCGCCTGCCTTGGCCTCCCAAAGTGCTGGGATTACAGGCACGAGCCACTGTGCCCAGCCTGAGGATGAAACACTTAATTACTAATTTTATGAGGCCAGCCCTGATACCTAAGCCAAACAAAGACGTCACAAGAAAAGAAAAGTATAAACCATTATCCTTTATGAATATAGCTGCAAAATCCCTCAACAAAATACTGGCAAACAAAATCCATTAGAGTATTTAAAGGACTATACACCATGACCAAGTGGGACTTACCCCAGGAGTGGAAGGGTAGTTCAACAACAACCAAAAAACAAACAATGTAGTACATCAATTTGACTGAAGGTGAAAAAAGCCACATGTGGCCCTCTCAACTGATACAGAAAAACGATCTGACAAATATTCAACACCCTTTCATGATGAACACACTCAGCAAGCTAGGAATAGAACAGGTAAATCCATAGTGATAGAAAGCAGACTAGTGGTTTGTAGGAACTAGGGGGAGATGGGAAGTGACAGCTTAAAGGGTATGGGGTTTCTTTTTGGGGTGATGAGAATATTATGTAACTAGACAGAGGTGGTGGTTGCACATTATGAATGTACTAAATATCACTTTAAAATGGGCCAGACATGGTGGCACACGCCTGTAATTCCAACACTTTGGGAGGCTGAGGCAAGAGGATTGCTTGAGCCCATAAGTTTGAGGTTGCACTGAACCATGTTCATGCCACTGTACTCCAGCCTGGGTAACAGAGCAATGCCTTGTCCCCAAAAATAATAATAATAAAAATAAAATGATTCAAATGGTAAACATTATGTATGTTTACATCCACACACACGTATAAAATTATCTTAAGTGGCTTGCTAGTGGTCGTTGGGTAAAATCCAAGCTCTTCCTCACATTGGCGGTGCGGTAAGGCCCCGTGTGATCAGGCCCCTGCTGGCAGCCTCCTTTCCTCCTCTTCCTTGCCCCACCCACTGGGCTCAGCTCTGCTTCAGGGCCTTTGTACTTCCTGGTCTCTCTGCCTAGAACACATCTGACTGGTGTCCCATCTTCGGAGCTCAGCCTAATGTCACCTCGAAGTACTTTAAGCTGTTCCTCTCTCTTGAGACATCTCCATTATAGCACCCTGGATATTTTCTTCACTGCCATCTACAGTTATTTTTATTTTTATTTATTTATATTTTGAGGTGGAGTCTTGCTCTGTCACCCAGGCTGGAGTGCAGTGGTATGATCTTGGCTCACTGCAACCTCCATCTCCTGGGTTCAAGTGATTCTCCTGCCTCAGTCTGTAGCTGGGACTACAGGCACCCACCACCACACCCAGCTAATTTTTGTATTTTTAGTAGAGGCAGGGTTTTACCATGTTGGGCAGGCTGGTCTCGAACTCCTGACCTCAAATGATCCACCCACCCCTGCCTCCCAAAGTGCTGGGATTACAGCCATGAGCCACCACACCCAGCCTATTTTTATTTATTTATTTATTTTAAGATGGAGTCCACTCTGTCACCCAGGCTGGAGTGCAGTGGCGCGATCTTGGCTCACTGCATGCAACCTCCGCCTCCTGAGGCCGGTCTTGAACTCCTGACCTCAGGTGATCCGCCTGCCTCAGCCTCCCAAAGTGCTGGGATTACAGGTGTGACCCACTGCACCTGGCCTAAACTAAAAAACTTCCAAGACCCCCGAACCATTTAAATTGTTTATTGTTCATCTCCTCAATAGAACCTAAGTTCCTTGAGGGCAGAGAGAGCCTGTATGTCTGCCTGTATGTCTTGTTTTCATGGTGACCTCAGGGCCAGACACTAAGTTTGTTACTGGGGTTGGTGCCTAGCAAGGATCTGTTGTGGGGCCAGTGTGCCATGACACCCTTGGCAGCACCAGCAGTGTCCTTGCAGAAGAAGACTGTGGTGTTGCGGTTCCTTTCTACCTATTGTCACCAGAAAAGGGGTCTGGTCCCAGATCCCAAGAGTGGGTTCTTGAATCTGTCGCAGGAAAGAAATCAAGGCAAGTCACAGAGTGAAGTTAAGATCACTTATTAGAGACTACTCAGTTACAGAGTAGGGCATCCTCAGAAAGCAAAAGGAGCAATGTGCTAGCAGGTTGTTAAGAATTGTGTATTTAGGCCAGACATGGTGGCTCATGCCTGTAATCCCAGCACTTTGGGAGGCCAAGGCAGGTGGATCACCTTAGGTCAGGAGTTCGAGATCAGCGTGGCCAACATGGTGAAACCCCGTCTGTAATAAAAATACAAAAATTAGCTGGGCATAGTAGCGCACGCCTGTAATCCCAGCTAGTTGGGAGGCCGAGGCAGGAGAATCGCTTGAACCTGGGAGGTGGAAGTTGCAGTGAGCCGAGATTGTGTCACTGCACTCCAGCCTGGGTGAGACAGAGCGAGACTCTGTCTACAAACAAACAAACAAAAAAGAATCGTGTATTTATTACAAAGGCTGGTGATTAACTAGTGGCAGGCTATTAGTATTGTTACTTTCCTATTGTTGCTAATTCTTGATTTTAGCAAGAATTTATGAGTGTACTATTATTTTTAAATCAAAACCTACTCTTAAACTAAGAATGCTTTTGTGTTTTTAAAGTACTGGGACATTTCCATAAGTTCTGAGTCTTTAGTTGGTTAATATCATTAGCTCATTCTCTTAACCATAAACATGTGACCAGGAGTGCCCAACCTCCTGGGAATGTAACCCAGCAGCTTTGGCTTTATCTTGGCTTTATTCAAGATGGAGTCACTCTGGTTAGGATGCTTCTGACACTGTCACCACTGGAACAAATGAACTTGTGACATTTGGCCGGAGAAAGGAAGACCAGGCAGAACCTGCTTGAATTGAAAGTTTGAAGAGTGAGGGTGTGCAAATGAAGCCACAGACTCGTTTCTAATTTTGTTTGTTTTTTATTTTTGAGATGGAGTCTTGCTCTGTCACCCAGACTGGAGTGCAGTGGCGCAATCTTGGCTTACTGCAACCTCCGCCTCCCAGGTTCAAGCAATTCTCCTGCCTCAACCCTCCAAGTATCTGAGATTACAGGCATGCGCCACCATGCCTGGCTGATTTTTGTATTTTTAGTAGAGACGAGGTTTTGCCATGTTAGCCAGGCTGGTCTTGAACTCCTGGCCTCAAGTGATCTGCCCACCTCAGCCTCCCAAAGTGGGAGGATTACAGACGTGAGCCACCGCGCCTGGCCACAGACTCGTTTCTAGTGGAACAAGCAGAACCAGGAGTGGAAGCAGTGAGACTGATTTCTGCTTGGTCAAGAACAGAGCACACTAGGAGAGGGAGGGAGAGGTGAAGAACATAGTGAAAGGTCAGAGCCAGAGGGCTGGGCCTGACGGTCCTCCCAGTGTTTGAGTGCTGTCATTCTGGGCTAAGTTTGCATTTCTCTAACTGTTCCCTTTCCAAATTTGGTAGAATATTCTGTGGCAGTGTGGACAGAACAGTGGGCCCAGGGGCAGATCTGATGCTGGATAAGTCACTGTGTCTCATGGTGCCTCAGCCTCTCGTCTATGGAATGAACAGTTGACCAAACTTCTCCCTAAGCCCAGCTCTGGGGCCTTGGTCAAATCAGTGAATGTTTCTGAGCTCCAGTTCCCTGTCTTTGGCATTCCTGCTTAGTTGCTGGGAGGATTACACGATGGTAAATGCAAAGTGTGTTGCACTGTGAATGCAACCAATTCCATTCATGCTGGCATTGCTGGTGGGTCATGTGCCCCATGTAAACAAAAAATTAAAATTCAAAGGCCCCCCAACCATCTAACTGGGACTTCCTCCTAGGCCAGGGCACTCTAAAATTTAACCTGAAAGACTGGTTCAGGCAATGATGGGAAGTGGGAATAGGACATGCCTTGTAATACCTCTCTGATGTTAACATCAACACAGACCTTAAGTCTGATAAGAAACATTGGCAATCTATTCTCTCCAAAGCCTGCTACCTGGAGGCTTCATCTGCGTGATAAAACTTTGGTCTCCACAACCTCTTATCCCAACCCAGGTATTCCTTTCTAGTGATAACTCTTTGTTTTTTGTTTTTGTTTTTGTTTTTGAGATGGAGTCTCTATCTGTTGCCCAGGCTAGAGTGCAGTGGCACGATCTCAGCTTACTGCAACCTCTGCCTCCCAGGTTCGAGCAATTCTCCTGCCTCAGCTTTCTGAGTAGTTATTATAGGCATGTGCCACCATGCCTGGCTAATTTTTGTATTTTTAATAGAGTCGGGTTTCACCATCTTGACCAGGCTGTTCTTGAACTCCTGACCTCAGGTGATCCACTCATCTCAGTCTCCCAAAGTGCTGGGATTACAGGCGTGAGCCACTGCACCCGGCCTCTATTGATAACTCTTAAAATCAATTGCCAATTAGAAAAAATTTAAATCTACCTGTAACCTGGAAACCCTGCCCACTTCAAGTTGTCCCACTTTTCTGGACCAAACCAATGTGTTTCTTAAATGTATTTGATTGAAGTTTCGTGTCTCCCTAAAATGTATAAAATCAAATTGCACCCCAATCACCTTGGCACATGTTCTCAGGATCTCCTGAGGGCTGTGCCAGGGGCCATGGTCACTCATATTTGGCTCAGAATAAATCTCTTCAAATATGTATGTGTTGTGTGTGTGTGTATATATATATGTATATATATATATTTTTTTCTTTTTTCTTGAGACGGAGTCTCACTCTGTCATCCAGGCTGGAGTGCAGTGGCGTGATCTCGGCTCACTGCAACCCCCATCTCCCAAGTTCAAGCAATTCTCCTGCCTCAGCCTCCCAAGTAGCTGGGATTATAGGTGTCCACCACCACGCCTGGCTAGTTTTTGTATTTTTAGTAGAGACGGGGTTTTGCCATGTTTGCCAGGCTGGTCTCCAATTCCTGACCTGAGGTGATCCTCCTGCCTTGGCCTCCCAAAGTACTGGGATTACAGGCGTGAGCCACTGCGCCCAGCCCTCTTCAAATATTTTACAGAGTTTGACTCTTTTCGTTGACACCCAGCACTCATAAATCATCCGCCCACAGCCGGTGGCAGGAGATGGGGCAGAATCACCCGCAGGAGATTAGGCGCCCAGGGCACTTGAGAGGTGAAAGGAAAAAACTGCTTTTACTGTCTTCAAACAACTTATGTCCAACAACATGTGTCGACCCAAAATGAGGCTCAGCAGCCCCCGAGGGATTCACCTCTAGAAAGACATTCACCTTCTGCTCAGGGCAAAGACATGCTGCTTGTGGCTGCAGGAGGGAAAGCCATGGTCATCCTGGGGGAGGCGTGCTCACACTTCCCAAAAGAGTACCTGTGTCAGTCACAGAGGGGTCTGCAAGCTGGGACGGTAGCCCTTCCCTGCCAGCCCTTCCTCAGCCGTGGGCCTTCCCTGGAGCCCAGGACCAGGTGTTGGAGCAGAGTGCTGTTCAGCGGCACCCAGCCACCTCTGCTCACTGCAGTAGTGATTCTCTGCCTGTGCATCTAAAATTTGACCTTTTGAGGTTTTCCAGTTTTATATTTATGGCTCGAACTTGCCAGTTGCCTAAAATGAGCTGAAGGAAGGAATACTTATTTCCAGGCCACATATTTTTTCTTTGCTTTGCTTTTTTTTTTTTTTTTTTTTTTTTTTTTGAGACAGAGTCTCACTCTGTCGCCCAGGCTGGAGTGCAGTGGCACCATCTCGGCTCACTGCAAGCTCCACCTCCTGGGTTCACGCCATTCTTCTGCCTCAGCTTCCCGAGTAGCTGGGACTACAGGCGCCCACCACCACGCCCAGCTAATTTTTTGTATTTTTAGTAGAGACAAGGTGTTACCCAGGATGGTCTCGATCTCCTGACCTTGTGATCCGCCTGCCTTGGCCTCCCAAAGTGCTAGGATTACAGGTGTGAGCCACCGCGCCGGGCCCAGGGTTCTTATTATGCAGATGAAGCCTCCAAGTAGCAGGCTTCAGAGAGAATAGATTGTAAATGGTTCTCACCAGACTTAAAAAGGTGCCACACTCTTAGTTCTCTCCTGGATCAAGGAAAAGACCTGGAAAAGGAAAGAGATTCTCTAAAGAACATAGACTTTCCCAAGAGACAGATTTGCAGGGCCATTTCAAAATATGTCAAAGAAATGTATTTTCAGGTAAAATACTCTGATCTCTTTTAGGGCCTGCTATTTGTCATGTGATACTATACTAGAGTCAGGCTGGAACTTGGTGTCATTGCTACAAAAAGTCTTAAGATCTCTGCTTTAATGTTAATGCTAGGCAGCTGTGCCTGAATTCCAAAGGGAGGAGGGTACAGAGGCATGTCCAACCCCCACTTCCCATCATGACCCTAGCTACTTTTTTTAGGTTAACTTTGGAATGCCCTTGGCTGAAAGGAGGAGCCCATTTACATGGTTGTGGCACTTCGAATTTTTTTTCAGTTTACAGCCCTATATGAACTCAAACTTCAGGAGCAAGGTGTGGCAGCTCCCACAGAGGTGAGAACCAAGACCCTCTGTGGTTGGAAGGGAGATTTGCATATGGATTAGCACAGTGTAAGGTAGGAGGCCCTCAGTGTCTTGGGGTGGCTGGAGGTGGGGTGTGGGGATAGGATGTTACTGGTGGGAGGTGAGACTTGAGAAGCTTTGGAATATGGAGATGGAGGTGAGGAGGGCAGGGAAGAGGACTCCAGGTGGTGGGCATGGTTGGAGCAAAAGGGTAGATGTGTTCAGGGACTGTGAGTGTCCTCTGTGGCCTGGGCATCATAGTCAGACTGCAGCATCCCTCAGCCTGGGAGTCACCAGGGGAGGTTCAAGATAACTTGGTGGAGACAGCTCCGTGCTCCTTCCCTTGAAGCTGAGGGTATTGGCCTGGGCAAGATCTGGGACTAGGACCTCCATCTGGCCAGGAAGGTGGTGGATGGGAGGGCTGGACAGGCTCAGTGGCCAGAGTGTAGAAGTCACCTGTCCACTCCAGGCCAAACCGTCTTTGGTCAGCAGCCACCACAGAGCGGGATGATGTGCTTTCCCAAGGATTTTGCATGTGATGGTTTGAACACGGGTTATTTGGCTCCCTCTGAAAAGAGTTATTATTGGACTTATCCCCAGGAGAAGGGCATATTTGCCTGCAACCCTTCAGGGGGAAACAAACTTTTTCCACATATTTGAAGTTATGAGAGGGATTTGAAAGCAGTGAAGCAAGCATGTCCTGTAGAATGCCCTGGAATGCAGTGGCCTTTTCTCCAGCCAGTTTGGTATTCCTTCCGTTTTGCCTGGTGGCAGCTCTCACATTCCCTTCCACCTGTGTATTTGGGGCTGGATGACACATTGTTCCCTGTGTGGAATTTATTTGTTCTTAATTGTTATGCCCAAATATTGTGTCACATTGATCAAACTCCAAGAAATCAGAGGCACACAGCACTTGAGAGAATTACTCTGAGTCTTTCTTTCTGCTGCTTGGGGAAAAAATAGATTTTCCTTTGAATCTTTTGGCTGGACTTCAGCCAAAAATTGGGCAGACTTTTCCAAGTGCGTGAGAAGATGCTGAAACTCCCTGGATGTGTTTTCCCTGCACACTCCCTCTGTTTATAGTTCCTGTTTATTGTTGACATTGGAAGGCTCCTGTTCTGTGAAAGAAAGCAACGCAATCCTGCAAGGTCACTGAAAGGCAAAATGGTTCTTATGCACTAAAGTGCATGCATATGTCCCTCAGCAGGCTTTGATTGGTGTCCTTGTGTGTCCTGGGGGCTGAGCCAGATGCAGGGAACTCAGAGATGAACAGGCACAGGCTTGGACCTGGCCTTTAAGGAGCTCACTGTTTGGGGCTGAGGAGAGACTCATGTGGGCAGCACAGGTATGCTGGCCCATGCAGAGGAGAGAAGAGCTGTACCTGGGGTGGAGTAGGCACCTCACTGTTTCCCCGTGCCCCTTGGCTTACACCCCACCCTGCTCTGTAGCAAGCTGCCTTACCTTCCCCATGTCCTTTGTGTCACCCCCGAGGGCTCTCCCTTGGCCTCAGGGAAGCCTGTGTGCTGTGCTGTCCTGCCCCGCCGGCCTCATCTTGGGGTCTCCATGTGTGTCTGACTTCTCCACCTGGAGCTCCTCTGCATGGACCTCCTGCTGCTGTGCTGGGGCAGGGGTTGACCTGTCCAGCCCCCTGGCTTCTGGATCAGCTTTGGTCATTGCCTCTTGGGGCTGCCCTTGCCCCATCTCAAAGCCTCCCATTGCCATATAGCTTTCTGCTGACTACATCTTCCTGTCCCCATCACTGATCTTCCCATCTGTCTTCAAGCTCATAAAAACTCCCCGTCCTTGACCCCTCTGCTTTCTTCCTGTATACCCACTCTTTCTGCTGGGCAGCCTCTCCTCTTTCTTGCTGGGACCCTATCTTCCTGACCTCTTAGCTTTCAGCACACGCATCTCCAACGCCCTAGCCAGGATCAGCTCACTTGTGTCCCCCTGTGGGCACTTCTCAGCTGCTGATGGACAACATCTATAGATCTATAGCTGTGTAGGCCGTGGCCACTAAACAGTCATGCTTTACACCCACTGGGCATGCCAGACCCACAGGGGCGCTTAGAGCAGAGTGGGTGCAGAGCTCTGGGCAGCTGATGGCTGGGACCTCAGATGATGTCCTGGGCCACAGATCAGGAGACTTCCCTGCTGGGCTGGAGATGTACAGGGCCCCATATCACCAGAGAGACCAGAGCTCACCACAGGACCAAGCAGCCTTTCAAGAGAGTCCTTATTATCAGATTCTCATTCCTTTCTTATCCTTTATTAGAAAAATTCATATGAGGAAGGGCATGGAGTTTTCTGCTGTTCTGATGAGGAATCAGGCAACCCCAGGACCGTGTGATTGGTTGTTTAAGCAGCTTCCGAAGTGTAGGCCTCTTTTGACTTCGGGAAGCTTTGTCTTATTTCCAGCTGCCATCTGGTGGCTGGATTGAGGCCCTTCTGAGGGCATGTTGAGTCAACCAGGGCTGGCTTGCTCACCTGTCTTTATAAGGTCCCCACAGGGTCATCAGAATGTGAGACCTCTGGGGAGAAGAGTCCAACCAGGAGAAGGAACTTTCACCTACGCAGCCCCCACCCTCCAAGAGGGGCAAACCTGGCCCAGGGACTGGTCGATTGTGCCCCTCTTCAGCGTTCCCCTCCCTGTGCCACTCATTCTTCCAAATCCTGGTGTCTTGGTGCCTCTGCTAGGATTGCACCCCACCCGTCTCAGCCCTCAGGTCCACCAGGGCCCTTGGCCATGGAGCTTGTCCTCAACCCCTGGGCCTCGTTCCCTGGTCGGCATGCTCTTGCATCTTCAGCTGTGCCTTAACGTGGAGCACCAGTCCCCACGCAGCCTGACCCCACTAGGCCCTGTCCACCTCTGCCCCCACATGGTCACCTCCAGACTCTGTGGGCTCTGGCTCAGTAATCTTAAAATCAGAAGCCCTGTTCTGGCCACCACAGCAGTTACCCTTCCAGTGCCCTTCCAGATCTGACTCCTCCAGGTGGCAGTTGCGTTTTTCTTTTCCTTTCTCACTTGGCCTCGCCCTGTGGTTCATCCCTGCTGGGGTGAGTTCTTCCTCTCTCTCCTGGTTGTCTGGCTTCCTTCACACCTGTTTGTCCTCTGTCTAACCATGGGGCAGCCCAGGCACTAGACAGGTTGGGCCCAAATCCAGACTGTGTCACTTATAAGGTGGGTCCCTCTGCCTCTGTCTCTTCACCCACAAAGTGTATGTAATGATAAAGACCTTTTAGGGGCCAGGCATGGTGTCTCACGCCTGTAACCCCAGCACTTTGACTTTGGGAGGCTGAGGTGGGCGGATCACGAGGTCAGGAGTTCCAGACCAGCCTGACCAATACGGTGAAACCCCGTCTCTAGTAAAAATACAAAAATTAGCTGGGCATGGTGGCGCACGCCTGTAGTCACAGCTACTCAGGAGGCTGAGGCAGAAGAATCGTTCGAACCCGGGAGGTGGAGTTTGCGGTGAGCAAAGATCATGCCGCTGCACTCCAGCTTGGACGACAGAGCGAGACTCCATTAAAAAAACAAAACAAACAAACAAAAAAAACCTCTTAGAGTTGTCAAGAGGGATAAATCAAATCATGCTACAAACTGCCCAGCAGTCACTGGAGTGTGGTGGCCACTCAGCTGACGGAAGTAACATTGTCAGTCTTTGGGTGATGACCTGTCAGTTCTGCACCTTCTACCTTCAGGCAGGGGTGATAGGGCCCTTTGCTGAGCACACGTACACATGCTATGCAGCCACGTTCTGCAGTGACCCTCCCAGCCATGCAGACAACACTCCTCAAACCCAGGGTATCTGCTGTGTGGTGACCCCTTCCAACCATGCAGACCACACTCCTCAAACGCAGGGTATCTGCTGTGCGTTGACACCTCCCAGCCAGGCAGACCACACTCCTCAAACCCAGAATATCTGCTGGCCTTGATCAGTACCTGTCCCCTTTGTGTGAGTCCCTCACCACCTTTCTCTCCCATCTCCCAGGGACGTCCTTGCTACTCTGTATATTTTCACTGCTGCCTCCTGCCACACTGCAAAAGATCTTGCTTCCTCATGCATAGAACAAAACCAGATCCACAGCTGAGCCCCTCAGCTCTCTGCCATTACACGCTCCCTGCGTCCCCCCTGCCATATGAATCCCAAATGATTCCAGTGGAGACATTTCTCCCCTTTGAAGCAGTGCCAGCTTCAAAGGGTGATTTTCTCCCTCTTGCTGGGGGACTTGGTTTTATCGCTGTTTTCTTTTTCCTTTTCTTTTCTTTTTTTTTTGAGACAGAGTCTCTGTCGCCCAAGCTGGAGTACAATGGCATGATCTCGGCTCACTGCAACCTCCGCCTCCCGGGTTCAAGTGATTCTCCTGTCTCAGTCTCCCGAGTAGCTGGGTCTACAGGTGGGTGCCACCATACCTGGCTAATTTTTGTATTTTCGGTAGAGACAGGGTTCCACCATGTTGGCCAGGCTGGTCTCAAACTCCTGACCTCAAGTGGTCTGCCCGCCTCGGCCTCCCAAAGTGCTGGGATTACAGACATGAGCCACTGCACCCAGCCTTATTGCTGTTTTGTCACTCCTGTAGCCTCAACCTCTCTCCTGGCCTCTTCCCACTGCATATGACCCACCACTCACTACTTTGAAACTGTACTAGCCAAGGTCTCAGGTCACTTTCCAGACCTGGCAGATGACTAAGAAGTGAACCTGGGTGTCACCTTGAGTCCTGCCCTCCCTGATCCCTCATGTGCAGCTTGTCAGCAGATCCTGTCAGTGCCAGACCTGAGCACTTTCACATCTGCCCACTGCCCTCCATCTGCCTGGCCTCCAACCCAGTTTCACTATCTGACCTCCCAGAGTCTGGACAGCAAGAGTGAGTCTTTTAAAATCCAATTCTGCTCAGTTCCAGTTCCAGGTAGGATTAAGTGAGAAGGTTTCACTCTGCAGCTATGAAACATGGACAGGGCCAGGCACAGTGGCTCATGCCTGTAATCCGTGCACTTTGGAAGCCTGAGGCAGGCCGATCACTTGAGGCCAGGAGTTCGAGACCGGCCTGGCCAACATGGTGAAACCCCATCTCTACTAAAAATACAAAAATTAGCCGGGTGTGGTGGCGCACGCTTGTAGTCCAGCTACTGGGGAGGCTGAGGTGTGATAATCACTTGATCCCGGGAGGAAGAGGTTGCAGTGAGCCGAGATGGCACCACTGCATTCCAGCCTGGGTGACAGAGCGAGACTCTGTCTCAAAAATAAAATAAAATAAAATGTGGACAGAATGCACAGAGCAGCTATTTGAGCACCCTGAAAATTAAGTAGCCACAAGCAGACTAGAGAAGACCAGAATCTGAGGTAACACCAAACAGGTGGTGAGGTTACAATTTTTTCCCTCCAGTATCTTCTAGAGTGGACTCAGGGGAGACCCAGAAGTGAGCAGACAGAGAAAACTCCTGGAGAAGCCCTCTAGTTCAGGCTCAAGGAGGAAAGGGTCCCCTGTCAGTGATAGCAGTGGCGATGAGAGGCCTGCAGGTACCAAAAACTCAGAGGAATCCATGCACACCAGTAGGAAGAGCTCTGGGCCCAAGAAGTGAGGGAACCCCTGTTCCATTTTTCTCTCACTCTTCCTACCACTTAGCCCCCGATATAGGTGTGGTGGTGGGAAGTGGGCAGCCAGAGGACTGAAACAGAGCCCAAGAGAACCAGAAAAAAACAGGAAATCACAGAAAGAGAACACCTTGGGAAAGTGACCCCATAACGTTGTTTTCATGAACTCCTGGCTTCACGTTCAAGCCGCACATGGATGGATCTGATCCTAAACAGCATACTAAAGATTTTGAGAACTGAACTTAAAGCTGCATGAATACCCACGTCCCTGTGGCCACTGGCTGGCACACATGTGGAACAGATCCAACTAGTACTGCAAAGGGCCGGGCGCAGTGTAACCTGGCACTTTGGGAAGCCGAGACAGGTGGATCACTTGAGGCCAGGAGTTCGAGACCAGCCTGGCCAACACGGTGAAACCCCGTCTCTACTAAAAATACAAAAATTAGCCAGGCGTGGTGGTGCACACCTGTAATCCCAGCTACTCGGGAGGCTGAGGCAGGAGAATCGCTTGAGCCTGGGAGGCAGAGCTTGCAGTGAGCCGAGATTGCACCACTGCACTCCAGAGCAAGACTCTGTCTCAAAAACAAAAACAAATAGTACTGCAAAGGCTTTGAAAATGGAACAAACAGTGAAACCACCACCCAGAGACGGCTGGTCACTACCTGTGGCCTTAACCCAACTTATTTGATAGACTGCTAAAATGAAAATATCAAATTACCAACATCAGGAATGAAATAAACAATTAATAGCACTAACAAACATAAAAGGACAATACTACAAAAACATAAAATAGATACATAATACATAAAAGGAATGCTACAGACAACTCTGCTGACAAATTTGACAACTTGGATGAAATGAACCAATTCTTCAAAAATCAAATTCTAACACTTGCCCAAGATCAAATCCATAAACTGAATAATCCTATAACTATTAAAGAAGTTGCATTCATAGTTTAAAACACTTCAAAAAAGAAGTCTTCAGGCCTACATGATTTCACAGGTAAATTTTATCAAATATTTGAAAAAAGAATAACACTATTTCCACACAATCTCTTCCAGAAAACAGAAGAGGAATGAGTAATTTCTTTTCTTTTTTAATTTTTCTTTTCTTTTTTTTTTGAGACAGTGTCTCGCTCTGTTGCCCAGGCTGGAGTGTGCAGTGGTGCAGTCTTGGCTCACTGCAACCTCTGCCTCCCAGGTTCAAGCAGTTCTCCTCCCTCAGCCTCCTTAGTAGCTGGGATTACAGGCATGTGCCACCACGCCCAGCTAATTTTTTTTTTTGTATTTTTAGTAGAGACAGGGTTTCACCATGTTGGCCAGGGTCATCCTGAACTACTGACATCAGGTGATCCGCCTGCCTTGGTCTCCCAAAGTGCTGGGATTACAGGCGTGAGCCACTGCACCCGGCTTTTTTTTTTTTTTTGAGACAGAGTCTTGCACTGTTGCCCAGGCTGGTCTCAAACTCCTGACCTCAAGTGATCTGCTCGCCTTGGCCTCCCAAAGTGCTAGGATTACAGGAGTGAGTAATTTCTAACTCATTTATAAGGACAGCATACCCTGATACCAAACTGAACAAAGATAGTGTAAGAAAAGAAAACTTCGGACCAATATTTCTCATGAGCATAGATGAAAACATCTTCAACAAAATATTAACAATTTGAAACCAGCAATACAATAGAATATTACACCATGATCAAGTGGATTTCATGCTAGGAGTGCAAGATGAGTGCAAGATAGGTGCAAGATAGGTTCCATGTTTGAAAATCAATAAATGGGGCTGGGGGCAGTGGCTCACACCTGTAATCCCAGCACTTTGGAAGGCCAATGCAGGCAGATCACTTGAAGTCAGGAGTTCAAGAGCAGCTTGGCCAACATGGTGAAACCCTGTCTCTACTGAAAATACAAAAATTAGCCAGGCATGGTGGTGCACACCTGTAGTCTCAGCTACTTAGGAGGCTGAGTCAGGAGAATCGCTTGAACCCTGGCAGGGCGGAGGTTGCAGTGAGTGGAGATCGCACCACTGCACCCCAGCCTGGGCAACAGAGCAAGACTCTGTCTCAAAAAAAGAAAAAAAAAAGAAAATCAATATAAATGGAATCATAATATTAACAATCTAAGAAAAACTACATTATAATATCAATTGATACAGAAAAAGGCATTTGACAAAATTTAACATTATTCATGGTAAAAACTCTCAGCAAACTAGGAGACTCCTCCACCTGATTAAGGGCATCTTCAAGAAACTGACATCATATGTAGTGATAGAAGACTGAATGCTTTACTTTCCGCCTAGGATCAGTAAAGTCAAGGATGTCCATGCTCACCCCTCATATTCATCCTAATACTAGCCAGTATTATAATGCAAGAAAAAAGAAGTCAAAGGCACTCAGATTGGGAAGAAAGAAACAGAGCTATCCCTATTTGCAAGCGACATGATGGCTGTGTAGAAAAATCCCAGGAAATCTACAAAAATATTTTTAGAGTGAGTTTAACAAGGTCACAGAATACAAGGTCAGTACATAAAGGCCAGTCATATTTCTGTGTATTAGCAATGAACAATTGGTAACAAAAAATTTTTAAAAATCACTTACAATGACCCCATGAAATACTTAGATATAATTATAACAAAACAAATATAGTATCTATATGTAAATAGTGTTAAATACTGATGAAATAGAAGACCAAAATAAATGGAGAGACATACAATGCTCATGGATCAGAAGATTCAAGAGAGTAAAGACGTCAGTTTTCCCTTGACTGATCAGTAGCTTGAATGCAATTCCAAAAAAAATCCCAGCAGGACATTTTCTCAGCATAGACAAACTTATTATACATTTATATGAAAAGATAAAGAAATTAGACTAGCTAAAGCAACTTTGAAAAAGAAGAATAAAGGTGGAGTAATTACTCAATTTTAAGACTTATCATAAAGAAACAAGACAGTGTGATGTTGGCAAACACTATATAGATTAATGAGATAGACATATACATTAATGGAACAGAATGGAGAGTCCAGAAATGGGCCCAGACAAATATGGTCAGATGGCTTTTGACAGAGGTGCAGAAACAATTTAATTGAGAAAGGTTAGTCTTTTCAACAAGTAGTGTTGGAACAATTGGACATCCATATGCAATAAAATGAATCTTGATTTATACTTCTTATTTATATAAAATTTAACTCAAAATGTAAACCATACAACTATAATACTCCCAGCAGTTTGGGAGGCCGAGGCGGGTGGATCACTTGAGCCCAGGAGTTCGAGACCAGCCTGGGCGATATGGCGAAACTCCATCTCTACCCAAAATAGAAATATTAGCCAGGCATAGTGGTGTGCAACTGTAGTCTCAGCTATTTGGAGGCTGAGTCAGGAGAGAATCATTTGAACCTGGGAAGCAGAGGTTTCAGTGAACCGAGATTACACTACTGCACTCCAGCCTGGGTGACAGAGTGAGACTCCATCTCAAAAAATAAAAAATAAAAAATAAAATAAAAATAAAATGCAATTTTGGGCCGGGCGCGGTGGCTCACGCCTGTAATCTCAGCACTTTGGGAGGCCAAGGCGGGTGGACCACGAGGTCAGGAGATCGAGACATCCTGGCTAACACGGTGTAACCCTGTCTCCACTGAAAATACAAAAAATTAGCCGGGCGTGGTGGCGGGCGCCTGTAGTCCCAGCTACTCGGGAGGCTGAGGCAGGGGGTGAACCCAGGAGGCAGAGCTTGCAGTGAGCTGAGATTGCACCACTGCACTCCAGCCTGGGCAACAGAGCAAGACTCCGTCTCCAAAAAAAAAAAATGCAATTTTGATTTATGTCTCTTCTCTGGCTCCTCTTGCGCTCTAGACCCATCCAGCTTCTGCTGTCTTCACTGGCACACCATCTTGCTGCCAGCCAGCGTGAATGCTGTACCTCTTGTTGGCAAGGTCTGTTCCCTAGTATCCAGCCCCTTCCCACACCCTATTTTCCTCAAGTCTGTTTACCCTCCAGGGAGAGGCCATTCAGGAAAGCCTTCTCTGAGCCAGCCTCCTGCCTGGGCCAGATGTTTGCTCCCAGGTGTTTGCTCCTTGGCTCAGCCCCTCGAGCATGGTAGCGTAGCAGTTAGTCTGAGCATGGGCTTCCTAGAGCCTCAGAGTCCCCGCTTGTCAGTCCCCTAGAAGCTTCAATTCTGTGCTTCCCAGGGTCCCTTCAATCAAAGATTTCTAAGTCAGTGGAAGCAGAGATGCTGGAGCCAGCCTGCCTGGGTTCAAATCGTGGCTCCCACACTTACCCACTGTGTGACCTTGGACAAGTTGCTTGCCGTCTTTTGCATCATTTCTCTCCTTTGTAAAATGGGTTTCATGATAGAACCAACTCTTAGAGGTGCTGTGAGGATTAGTTTAGATAATGTGTGAAGAGATCTTGGCACACGGCTTGGCAAACACTCGACTAAAGTAAGCTGCAGTTATTGATAGTCACTTTCGCAGCTTTAAAATAATACAGGTTCCCAAGAAGTCCCCTGCCCTGCTAAAACAGAATGAGAATGACTTTTGGGTGCAGAGGGTATTTGTATTTTTTTTCAAAAGCTCCTTGAGTGGGATTGGCAGATTCAAAATATACAAACACAGGTTGGCCGGGTGCAGTGGCTTACGCCTGTAATCCCAACACTTTGGGAGGCTGAAGTGGACAGATCACTTGAGGTCAGAAGTTCAAGACCAGCCTGGCCAACATGGTGAAACCTGTTTCTACTGAAAATACAAAAATTATCCAGGTGTGGTGGTGCATGCCTCTAATCCCAGCTACTTGGGAGGCTGAGGCAGGAGAATTGCTTGAACCCAGGAGGTGGAGGTTGCAGTGAGCCGAGATTGAGCCACTGCTCTCCAGCCTGGGCAACAGAGTGACAGAAAAAAAAAAAAAAACCCACAGGTCACCCAGTTTAATTTGAGCTTCAAATACAAAACGAATAATATTTTAGTATAAGGATGTCTCATGCAATATTTGGGCAGTCTATATACTAAAATTTATTTATTGTGTGTCTGAAATTCAAATGTAACTGGGCATCCTGCATTTTATCTACGAGCATTTAACCCTATCCTGGGGGACCTTGACCCCCAGCCCACTTGGGGTCTCTGCTCCCAACTCCCTGGTCCAAAGGCAAACCTCCAAGTCAGAAAAGAGATAGTATCCTTTTACTTGACACAGGGGGGCGCTAGAAGATGGCTTGTTCGCTTTCTTTTCTGTAACTCAGTGTCTAGGGAAGCACCAGCAGGTTGGCTGGCTTGCAACAAATCTCTCCGTACCTGTGAGTCATTTTCTGATGTTCAGGTTTGTAAGAAACCGATACAGAGCTGGCCACCTCCCTCTTGGGCCTTCACTTCTGGGGGGCTAGCCTAGCGCCTCAGGGGCTCCCCGGTTCTCGCCTCCCCTAGGCTCGCCTACCCTCCATTGATGTCATAACTCTATTCTGATATCACAGCCCAGCACTTGGAATTATCCCAGGCAGCCCAGGCTCTGCCCTTAGAGCAACTAGAGCAGGCAGTAGAGTGGGGTGGGCGGGGATGAGGAGGGGGTTGGGTGGCTGGTGGCCCTAGAGGCTGGCCCTAAAGAATACCTGGACAGCCTGCCACCCTATTGCTCCAAAATGAAAATCCTCTAACAGGTAGGACTTGGAAGAATTTCCTCCTGTTCCTGTTGGGTGTGATCCCACTGAGGTGGAAATAAATTCCCAGGGAGTGTGGCGTTGTTCTGGCTCTGTAAACAGCTCTCGGGAACCCTGCTGCCTGTGTGCCTGGGGATGCAAGTGGGCTTGGTCCACTTAACAGTCCTCTCTTCCCGTTTGAAGGAATGACTTCACAAAGCACAGTGTTTCTTACTTGTTGGGGGAGACATTCCTTAGGGCTTGGAGAATGCCTGCAGATACTGATCCAGGTTCTTCTGTGGCCACTGCCTCTGTCCTCACTCCCTAAGAAGATGGATGGGAACAGGGTTATGCTCTCCTTAGAACAAAGGGAAAATATAGGTGCATTCAAGCTATTGACCCTCAGACCCCTCAGTCCTGAGGAGGAGAGAAGCCCCATCCTCCCAGCTGGCCAGACAGTATAAAGAACTCTCTTATGAACTCACTTGAGTGAAAATTTGACTGGTATGGATTAAACAACACAAGAAAAGAAAACTGAATAACTTCTCTCTTACTTTGAGGGACATGAAGTCTTCCTGGGGGAGCATGTTAAAACTGCAGATTCCTAGGGCAGGACCACTGAGATTCAGATCCGATGGTCATATGGCACCTAGGGACCCCCATTTTAATTTTTATTTGTTTTAATTTAATTTAAATTTTTTTTATAGAGACAGGGCCTCACCGTGTTGCCCATGCTGGTCTCAAACTGCTGGGCTCAGGCAATTTTCCTGCCTCGGCCTCCCAAAGTGCTGGATTACAGGTGTGAGACACCCGGCCCTCCCCCATTTTTATTTTTTATTTTTATTTATTTATTTTTGAAATGGAGTCTTGCTCTGTTGCCCAGGCTGGAGTGCAGTGGTACGATCTCAGCTCACTGCAACCTCCACCTCCCGGGTTCAGACGATTCTCCTGCCTCAGCCTCCCCAGTAGCTGGGATTACAGGCTTGTGCCACCATGCCTGGCTAATTTTTGTGTTTTTAGTAGAGATGGGTTTCACCATGTTGTCCAGGCTGGTCTTGAACTCCTGACCTCAAGTGATCTGCCCACCTCCGCCTCCCAAACTGCTAGAATTACAGGCGTGAGCAACCACTCCCTACCTTCCCCCATTTTTATAATAAACATTCTACACAGGGCTCCTGCCAGCCCTCCAAGCTTCTCACTTTGAGAAGCACAGTCCGCTCTGTCAGACTCCCTGGATTGCTTATTGCTGCTATCTCTCTTCCCCCATCTCCAAATTCCATGTTTTTCTTGGAGGGAGGTTTAATTCAGCTTTACTCCACATATTTATTTAATGTGCTGGATCCAGGAAGACAAAAGTGATGGTGTAGGGCCTTATTGTTCATCAAGTGCATTGTATCTGAGTTTTTGGCCCCTGCCTTCTAGGCCTAGGTGCAGCCCCTCTCTCTACCTAAGAAAACCACTTCTGTCTATATCAGGAGTGCTATACCCTTTCTTCATCAGAGACTTTCTCTTCATGGTTCTCACCCCAACTGAGAAAATGGAATATAAGCGTGAATTATTGGTCATTAAAACTGATAGTGGAGCCAGGCATGGCAGTTCATGCCTGTAATCCCAGCATTTTGGGAGGCTGTAGTGGGAGGATCGCTTGAGGCCAGGAGTGGAGAGCAGCCTGGGCAACATATCAAGACCCCATCTTTCAAAAAAAGTAATAATAGTAACTGGGTGTGGTAGCACACACCTATAGTCCTACCTACTCAAGAGACTGAGGTGGGGCGATCACTTGAGCCCAGGAGGTCAAGGCTTCAGTGAACTATGATCATGCCTGGGTGACAGAGCAAGACCCTTTCTCTAAAAACAAAAACAAAAAACTGGTAGTAGTGAAGGGTATGGCTCATGGAAGGGACTAGTTTCTGTTTCTCTGGTGGCCTGGAATGAACATTGAATGGTACCTGGCGGGACAGCCATGCCTCCTTGATCTCTCAGCAGCTCAAGGTGCAAATTCCTTCCTCCCTGGCTATGACTTTAGGCTTTCCCAATAATACCACACAGCTTTTTGAACAAATAAACATATCTAGGCTAGTTCATAGGGTTTTTAGTTGTCGTCTTGCCTCTGTGCTCTTGAAGTTTTGAGCCCTTTGCATTTGGCAGTGTCCAGGCATTCAGGCCTGGAGCCCGTGTAGTGCCAGTGCCTCCCTCCACGCTCTTGGCCTGGTTGACCTCACCTAAACCCTCCAAAAAGCAGATGGTCAGACTCTCTTCCCTTCAAACTCTTCTCTGCCCTGACTCACACCTGGGCCATTTCATCCAGTGAGACTGAGGGAGGAGCGAGGGAGTCCATGTTTCCCCTCCATGACGCCGGGACAGGAAGCTAGACTCAGTCTCTTCCATATGGCCAGGAAGGGGAGTACCTGACTGCCCATCTTGGTTTTGGGAGAGAGAAAAACCAGTGCTCAGTCTGGGAAATGAGGTTTTGGGGGATTGTGATAAAATAGAGGACAGGACTCTGCAGGTCAAGGACAGAGGTGCATCCTGAGGGCGCACTGCAGTCAGGGCCAAGTGGCTCACTCTTTGCAGCTTTAGCAGCACCTTGGATATAGTTGCTGCTCCGTAAACGTGTTGATTGACAGAGGTGCAGGTAAAAACCTCAGAACAGTTGGGCTTAAGGATGCTACAAAAAAAGCTCTGGGATGGGATTTAATTTTTTTTTTTTTTAACTGTTGTTATCAGCCTGGCCAACACGGTGAAATCCCATCTCTACTAAAAATACAAAAAAAAAAAAAAAAAAAAAATTAGCCGGGCGTTGTGGCACGCACCTGAAATCCCAGGCACTCTGGAGGCTGAGCCAGGAGAATTGCTTGAGCCTGGGAGGCAAAGGTTTCAGTGAGCTAAGGTCACGCCACTGCACTCCAGCCTGGGCAACAGAGCAAGACTTTCTCTCTCTTAAAAAAAAAAAATGTTGTTATACAAAATAAACAGAAGTGAACAGAAGACTCTCAGGAATCGTCACATACCTGTCACCCAGATGCCACAGTTACCAGCTACCAGCTCATGGCCAGCCTTGTCTCTATGCCTCCATCCTCTTCCTCTGTCTCTATCATTTTGAAGCCCATTGCAGAGGTCATAGCATCCCATTTGTTAACATGTCTGGATGTATCTTTAAAAGATCAGAATTCCTTTTTTTTTTTTTTTAACATAACCAAAGTGCTATGATCATATCTAACAAATTAACAGTGGGTTGGAATGAAGTTTATTTAAAGGAGCCAGTCCTCTCCCTGTCTTAGAGAGTTTGCAGGAAGTAGAAAAGGGAATGCAGAGGGCTGAGAAAGGGGCCGCACATGTGCTTCCAGCAGCCAAGCTGGGCTCTGTTCAGTTCAGAGAAACCAAAGAGAGGTTAACAGCTCTCAGTTGGGAGAGGATCCGGGCCCTTCTCAAGGAAGGAGGGCTGGGCGTTGGCAAGATGTGTCTTCTGACCCTTGGCCTCATCACGGGCCCTGCAGGGTAAAGGGTGAGGGGCGTGGGTTGGGGAGTTGCTAGTGAGAGCACAGTCAGTTCCCAGGTATCCACATTAGGAGAAGAAGGAGCCACCAGAAAGTAGCATAGGAAAATGATGGTCTTATTCTTTAGGAGGTGTGAACAATTTGGATTTAGATGTGACCCTATGACCCATACAGATGGCTGCGGCTTACCCCTGAGAGACCTGTATAAATCAGTGCTAACTGAAAGAGGCCCAGGGTGAATGGGTCACTCGTGAGTTTGAATGCATGTGCAGAGCTCAAAGGAGATTGGTGTTCAGTTCTCAGAGAAACTGAGTTGGATTTTCACCCTGGGGGTGACAGCATTTGTTCTGAGCCCCTCCTCATGGGACTTTAGCCTGCCACCCAAGCCCAGGAGCCAGCCCAGAAGTGGCCACCTTATTTCAGTAGAGAAGTAGGCGTTATGTAATACGCCTCTGGGGGTGGGGGTTCTTCTTATGAAGAGGTCAGAGCATAACAAAAGTGGTTGTCTAGTTTAAAACATTCCTGTGGCCAGGCATGGTGGCTCATACCTATAATCCTAGCACTTTGGGAGGCCGAGGCGGGCAGATCACCTGAGGTCAGGAGTTTGAGACCAGCCTGATCAACATGGCGAAACCCCGTCTCTACTAAAACTATAAAAGTTATCTGGGCATGGTGGCATATGCCTGTAGTCCCACCTACTCGGGAGGCTGAGGCAGGAGAATCGCTTGAACCCGGGAGGCCCAGATTGCAGTGAGCCAAGATCACACCATTGCACTCCAGCCTGGGGGACAAGAGCGAGAAACTCCATCTCAAAAAAAAAAACAAAAACAAAAACCAAGAGCATTATTGCCATTAAGGTAGTTTAAGCATCATTTTCCTGCTAGGGCAATTACCTTGATTGCTAATTGTTTCCTTTGTAACTAGAGGGCATAATAGCACTTTCGTTTGTAATTATCAGATTGGAGTTTATTCTTTGTTACTGTTTAGGTGTTAACCTTCACGTGGATCTGTAGGCATGAGCACCGGACTCTGATGCAGGCAAGGCTGTCAACTCAGGATGTCACTAATCCAGAGGTGGAGGGCCCCGGGGTCCAGACCGGATGCCTGACCTAAACCTGAGGCTGGCAGGACTGTGACGTTTCCCTGGGGTACCCCCTGCATTTCAGTTTGCCAGTTTGAGCTTTGACTGGAGATGGTCATGGAAAGGTTGAGGCTGAGTATTCTGGGCTACGGAACTAGAAAGCTGGGCTCTGAGGGGGCCCCTCGGTCAGTTTGCTGAATCACAGTACCATGCCTGGTGGTATGAACAAGTATGGCTTAATAAAAGGGACACAAAATTTGGGATTCTGGCGTTGCTGTTGAGTCACTGTGTGAACTTTGGACAAGGCCCTCTCCCTCTCTAAGCTCCAATTTCTTTGCCCATCACAGGGACAAATAATGTCTACATAAAGAGATGGTTGTGAGGGTAAATAACAACAACAATAATACTTTTTAAATTAGGCTGGGCACAGTGGCTCACATCTGTATTCCCAGCACTTTCGGAGGCTAAGAAGAGCAGATCACTGAGGTCAGGAGTTTGAGACCAGCCTGGCCAACATGGCAAAACCCGGTCTCTACTAAAAATACAAAAATTAGCTGGGTGTGGTGGCACGCACCTGTAGTCCCAGCTACTCGGGAGGCTGAGGCAGGAGAATCACTTGAACCTGGGAGGCAGAGGTTGCAGTGAGCGGAGATTGCGCCACTACATTCCAGCCTGGGAAACAGAGAGAGACTCCATCTCAAAAACAAAAAAAATGTTAAATTAAATTAAATAATACAAAACAGTCTAGGTGAGAGGGAAGCACGTGGAACAGCTTCCAAATGCCAGTCGTCATCACTACCATTCCAGGCTCTTCAGCTCAGGTCCTTAGTTGACAACAGATCTGTGTGTGATGGTCTCATGCATGTGGGATGTCTTCTACCCACACTGGATATACCTCCATAGACAGTGATATGGTTTGGCTGTGTCTCACCCAAATCTCACCTTGAATTGTAATAATTGCCACGTGTTGAGGGTGGGGCCAGGTGGAGATAATTGAATCATGGGGTGGTTTCCCCCATACTGTTCTCATGGTAGTGAATAAGTCTCACAAGATCTGATGGTTTATAAAGGGGAGTTCCCCTGCACGTGCTCTCTTGCCTGCTGCCATGTACGATGTGAATTTGTTCCTCATTAACCTTCCCCCATGATTTTTTTTTTTTTTTTTTTTGAGATGGAGTCTCGCTCTGTTGCCCAGGCTGGAGTACAGTGGTGCAATCTCAGCTCACTGCAACCTCCGCCTCCCAGGTTCAAGCAATTCTCATGCCTTAGCCTCCTGAGTAGCTGGGATTACAGGTGTGTGCCACCATGCCTGGCTAATTTTTGTATTTTTAGTAGAGACAGGGTTCACCATGTTGGCCAGGCTGACGAACTCCTGACCTCAAGTGATCTGCCCATCTCGGCCTCCCAAAGTGCTGGGATTACTGGCATGAGACACCGGGCTGGCTGCCTTCCACCATGATTGTGAGGCCTCCACAGCCATGTGGAACTGTGAGTCCATTAAACTTCTTGCCTTTATAAATTACCCAGTCTCAGGTGTCTCCTTATTAGCAAGATGAGAATAGACTAATACATACAGGGATCTGTTTTACTAATTAGTTTTTTAAAAATTATTTTTTCATGGTTTTCTATCCAGGGTCAACTGGTGGCAGGGAACAAAACCCCGCTGAGACTGGCTGAAACACAAGTGGGGCCTGTGCTCAGGGTGCAGGAAGTGGAGCATCCAAGGGGAGAGGTGTGTCCACAGCTGCTCTCTCTGACACCCCCATTTCTGGTTCTCTCCCGGTGTCCCCTCTGTGTCCTTTCCCTCTGTAGCCTGGTTTCTTTGTTCCTCCATAATTTCGTTCTGTAGGTGGGCCTGGCCTGCCCTGGCTCTTGCCTGGCTTTGTGGCTGCCATCTCTGGCTCCAGCTTCAAATTCTTAGGTAAGAGGCTCTGGCACAGCTCAGAGCAGGTACCCTGCCCTGGCCCGATCCAGCATGGTCATTGCGGCTGCTTGAGTCATCTCGGCTCATTGCAACTTGCCGCCTTCCAGGTTCAAGCGATTCTCCTGCCTCAGCTTCCCAAGTCAAAGCAGGGCAAGGTCATGCCTGAGGGGCCACCAAAGTATATATAGCGAGGAAGCCTTAAATCCTGTCCCCGTTGCTGGCTCTTCCTGAGACTTGGTCTCTTCCAAGAAGCCTTCCATGACCACCTCTAGTCCTCTCCCTGCCATCGGCAGGAGGGCAGGCAAAAGTCGTTTGGGCTCCATGTCCACTGAGGCTGCCCCCTTACCTGTGTCTAGCCCAGGCCAAGGAACCATGGTGGGCTCAGACCCTCCTCTGGAGGGAGGCCAGGCTGACAGGCAGGCATGACAACCATAGATTGTGGAAGAGAAACTTTGGAAGACAAGGCAAGTTGCTGAGGGCACAGGCAGGAATCATAGAAGCTTCCAGAGGCTCCAGAGGGGCAACCTGGGGTGCTGGGGAGGGCCTGATGAGCACAGGAAGGGCTGAGTCCAGTGGAGGCTGGCTCTTGGCAGCACAGTGGCGGCCCCTGCCCATGTATGGCACACCTGAACACAGTGGCACCTGCAGCCCAAGGCTTCCATGTGGTTCCAGAGCCTTGGGCTGGTGTGAGCTACTGTACTTCTCTGTAGGGGCCACCTGCCAGTGGGGGTGCCAATAGGTGGGCTCCAGGCTGTCTTCATTTGTCAGCCTAGGTTGCTTCCCTTGTTCTGTGGCCAGTGGTCTTTGGTGAAGGATATCTGTTTGCAACATGAGATCCATCCACCGCAGATGATTTGAAAACCATTGGTCCAGAGCTTCCACCTGAATCAGGATTAGCTATAGAAACTGAGGCTGAGCTTGAAGGTGGGAAGGGCTCAGGCTTGGGCTCAGGCTGTGGCAAGAGGCAGGACCTGGCTGTTTCATGATCTCCCTGCTCTCCACGGCTTGGAGCCAGCTCTCCTTCCATGGAAAGGACAGAGGCTGTGCTTGTCCACAGGCCTCAATGCCTAGACACAGAAGGAACATTCTCTCTAGCCCCCAGATGTTTGGTGTGCACAGTGCCACATCAGTAGCCTGCCTTAGTCCAGGTGACAGCAGAGAAGGGTATAAGGGCCATCAGACAGCCGCAAGCCAGAGAATCAGGCCAGAGACAAGCCCCTGCGGCAGGCTCTGCTCTGACCTTGCAGGCTGGAGTTGGCGATTCACTGTGGCCTCAGGCACTGCCCTCTGGAGAGCCTGGATGGATCCTGCAAGTTGGGACTCCCGTGGGTGAGCTCTGGTTTTAGTGACTGAGTGGTGGGTTTTCCTTCCCCCACAGCAGCCACCTTACATTTTTCTTCAGAAGATGGTCAGAAACACTTAGCTCAGAAATGAGATAACCTCTCCTGAGGAATGAGGGTATTCATTTTAATTAGGCTCTTGAGTCTTGGTACCGTGCCTGTCGTGGAAGACCTGCAGCCACAAATGAGCCCATCTTTCCTTGTCTCTGTTAAGCACCAGAAGCAGGGAAGCCAGGCTGGCCCGTGGGATGTCTTGTAATGAATGAGGCAGCTCTGTGTCATAGAGAACTCCTGTGCAGAGATGTTTTGTGAGCTCAGCCAGAAGTGTCACCTTCAGAGCCTGGCCACAGAAGCCCTCAAGTCCTACCTGTCCTAGGAGCAGCCCTGCTGGCTCTGGGCGAGCCTGGGACTGGTTAGGCCTGGCTTTGAGGACACTCTGAGGTCTGGGTTTCCCTCTCCTCAGCTGAGTAATGTCCTCTGCCTCTCTTGGCCTCAGCACCTCGGCTGTTAGCTGGCATGAGCCCCATGCCCTGTGAGGTGTCACATACCACACGGGGAACGGCTGCTCTTGTTAAACGCATTTTTTTTTTTTTTTTTGAGATGGAGTCTCGCTCTGTTGCCCAGGCTGGAGTGCAGTGGCGTGGTCTTGGCTCACTGTAACCTCCGTCTCCTGGGTTCAAGCAATTCTCCTGCCTCAGCCTTCCGAGTAGCTGGGATTACAGGCCGCCTGCCACCATGCCCGGCTAATTTTTGTATTTTTATTAGAGACAGGGTTTCACCATGTTGGCCAGGCTGGTATCAAAATCCTGACCTTGTGATCCACCTGCCTTGGCCTCCCAAAGTGCTGGGATTACAGGCATGAGCCACTGAGCCCAGCCTGTTAAACACGATTTTTTTTTTTTTTTTGAGATGGAGTTTCACTCTTGTTGCCCAAGCTGGAGTACAATGTCATGATCTTGGCTCACTGCAACCTCCACCTCCTGGGTTCAAGCAATTCTTCTGCCTCAGCCTCCTGAGTAGCTGGGCTTACAGGTATGTGCCTGGTCCCGAACTCCTGACCTCAGGTGATCCGCCTAACTAGGCCTCCCAAAGTGCTGGGATTACAGGCGTGAGCCACCGTGCCTGGCCTCTTAAATGCCTTTTTATCCAGGACACCCTCCTGACTCCCCAGCCCAGGTCAGCTTCCCACGTAGTGGAAAGAGTGCTATACAACTCCTTCATAGCACCCACCCTAGTTGCACTGATTATTCACCTGTACAGTTATTTAGTGTTTGACTTCCCTGATAATCCATAGCAACAGGAGGGTGGGGATTGTGACAACTGGCTTGCCACTGAATGCCCAGTGCCTACCACCCTGCTTGTCTCAGAGTAGACATGCTCGAATTATTTGTTGGAGGAATGGGGGAGGGAAGGAGGGAGAGAGAGACTGCATGAATGAATGAGTGTGAGAAGTGGGCGCTGGTGCTCTGGCCAGACACAGTGGTCACTTTGGTCCACAGGCTCTGGGTGTAGAGGCTCTGGGCCACATGGATAAGCAGTCTCGGGGTCCTCACAGAGCCATCTTGGAAAAGCAAGTCCTTCCAAAGGATATCACCGAGTGTGGGAGGCCATGAGGGACTTCAAGGTGACTCCAGAGAGCTAAGCTAGAGAGGCACTCCAGCAGGGGCAGTGGAGTCCTTAGCAAGGGGCAGTCCGGTGGCAGTCACCATATTAGCCCTCCAGCTGCTGCCATTTGTGTGAAGCGCAGTGGGGGCCAGGGATGCTTGGCTGTTGTAATAACACAGGTGTCTGAGTTTGTACCTATGCAAGATCAATGCTTAATGGTCTTCCTCTCCCGAGTGGAGGACCAGTGTCATGGGTGGTCAGGACAGTCCTGACCACCAATGAGAGGTGGCTCATAAGAGAGAGGAGGCAAGGCTTGGACTCCCCAGGGGGGCTGGGCCCTTCCTTGGCTACGTAGCTGTGGTACCTGGGCAAGCCCACCAACTCCTCCAAGCTCTAGCTGCCTTGTCTCTAAAATAAGGATAGTTCCAGCCCTAGCCTACCTGACATCCACTGCGGGGACAAATGAGTGTGTGCTGGCGAAAGCCTTGCCTAGGATCACCATTGGAGTTGTTGTCATTTATAGGGGTAGCCAACAATAAAGTTGGGCCCTTCTCAACTCCTCTGTGAGGTGACGGTCATTGTGGAGAGCATTGTCATTGGAGTTAAGTGCCCAGGCCTCAAGCTAGCCAGTGGTTTGTGTTATGAATGCGCCACCACCTTGGGGCCCTTCAGTCAGAATGCTAGGAGCAAAAGGTGTGTCCCTAAACATTTCTGCCTTTTAAGAAAACGCTTCAAGTTTTGTAAAAATATTTGATGGAAAAAGAAAAGCACAGACCGTGCAAATCCCCTCAAATCTACTCACCCAGCAGTAATGACAGTTAAATCTTCACTGCAAGAATTCCGGACAATCTAGATATAGAATTTTATATCAGTGGGAGAATCCCAATATTTGGTTTTATAACTGACTCATTAAACTTGACAATATGTTGTGGATATTCCATGTCAATGAGTATACATCTGTGGCACCACTTTTTCTAAAAAGATGAATTTTATTATGTATACTTAGGGCATTCAATAGATAATAAAATGGTTACCAAACAATGAGTAACTATGTGAGATGATAGCATCACTTTTTATAGTATTTTATTATGGAAAAGATCTAACATTTCTATGCATGTAGATATACACGTATATGGTCCCCGTTCTCATCACTTAGCTTTCAATGATGTTCAATTATGGCCAATCTTATTTCATCTCAGCCCTTCCTATTTCCCCCATTATTACTATTTTAATATTGTGATAAATACATACGACATTGAATTTACCATTAAAGGCATTTAGTACATTCACAGTGTTGCGCGGCCATCACCTCTGACTAGCTCCAGAACGTTTTCATCACTCCAAAGGAAACCCTGCACCCACTAAGCAGTGACTCCCCATTTCCTCTCTCTCAGCCTGTGGCAACCACTAATCTACTTTCCCCACTATTATTTTACAGCAAACCCCATCTGTGCACATTTCACTGTGTATCTCTAAAAAACAAGGAGTCTTTTAAAAACACAAAATCGACCAGGCGCAGTGGCTTATGCCTGCAATCCCAGCACTTTGGAAGGCTGAGGCAGGCGGATCACTTGAGGTCAGGAGTTTGAGACCAGCCTGGCCAACATGGTGATAGCCCTTCTCTACTAAAAATACAAAAAAAAAAAAAATGAGCTGGGCGTGGTGGTGGGTGTCTGTAATCCCAGCTACTTGGGAGGCTGAGGCAAGAGAATCGCTTGAACCTGGGAGGCAGAGAGGTTGCAGTGAGCCGAGATCGCACCACTTCACTCCAGCTTGGGTGAAAGAGTGAGACTCTGTCTCAAAAAACAAACAAACAAAATAACTCATAAATTCAAGACCACGATCCTACCTGAAATCACAATTCTTTAATATCATTGTTCAAATACCTAATTATAAATATTGTTGTTTTCAATTTTTAATTTTTGTGGGCACATATAGGTGTGTATATTTATGGGTACATAAGATTTTTTTGGGGGGGAGGTTGTTTTTTTTTCTGAGACAGTGTCTTGCTCTGTTGCTCAGGCTGGAGTTCAGTGGCGCCATCTCTGCTCATTGCAACTTGCTGCCTCCCAGGTTCAAGTGATTCTCCTGACTCAGCCTCCCGAGTAGTGGGACTATAGGAAGGCACCACCACACCTGGCTAATTTTTGTATTTTTAGTAGAGATGGGGTTTTGCCATGTTGTCCAGGCTGGTCTTGAACTCCTGGCCTCTAGTGATCTTCCCACTTCAGCCTCCCAAAGTGTTAGGATTACAGGGGTGAGCCACTGTGCCCAGACTCATTTTTCTTTTTCTTTTCTTTTTTTTTTTTTTATTTTTCTTTTCTTGAGACAGGGTCTCACTCTGTCACCCAGACTGGAGTGCAGTGATGTGTTCTCAGCTCACTGCAACCTCCACCTTCTGGGCTCAAGCAATCCTCCCACTTCAGCCTCCAAAGTAGCTGGGACCACAGGTGCATGCCACCATGCCTGGCTAATTTTTTATTTTTAGTGGAGATGGGATTTCACCATGTTGCCCAGGCTGGTCTCCAACTCCTGAGGTCAATCGATCTGCCCGCCCCTGCCTCCCAACATGCTGGGATTATAGGTGTGAGTACTGCACCTGGCCTAATAAATATCACTGTTAATGGTGCATGATATTTCATTAAATAGATACAGTGTACTTCGCTGAAACATTTTTGAAAATGTTTGCCAGTTCATTCAGTTGCATTCTGGTTGTTGGCAATATTTCTCTACTATCAACAGAAGGCACTGGGACAAGCATTTCTGTGCTCACTTTTTTTTTTTTCCTTTTCTTTTTTTGGAACTGGTGTGATTATTTCCTAAGGGTAAATTCTTAGAAAAGGGATGGCTGGGTCAAGTGCATGCTTCACATTTTGATACTGTTGCTGAGTTATCCTCCATCAATGTTGTTCCAGTTTACACTCCCCTTGGCAGAAAATGCATGGCTTAGTTAAGGGAAGATACTTCCTGGAAATATTCACGTTAATCCTTTCCCCTAGCTCAAGTAAAAGTACCACTACTGCCTAAGACCATGGGAACCCACCTCTTGCATCAGCGTGACCTGGATGTGAGACCTGGAGTCAAAGGAGATCATTTTGGAGCTTTAAGATCTGACTGCCCCACTGGATTTGACTTGTATAGGGCCTGTGGCCTCTTTGTTTTAGCCAATTTCTCCCATTTGGAATGGCTGTATTTACCCAATGCCTGCACCCCCATTGTATCTAGGAAGTAACTAATTTGCTTTGGATTTTACAGGCTTATAAGCAGAAGGGACTTGCCTTGTCTCAGATGAGACTTTGGACTGTGGACTTTTGAGTTAATGCTGAAATGAATTAAGACTTTGGGGGACTGTTGGGAAGGCTCGATTGGTTTTGAAATGTGAGGACATGAGATTTGGGAGGGGCCAGGGGTGGGATGATATGGTTTGGCTGTGTCCCCACTCAGATCTCATCTTGAATTCCCACATGTTGTGGGAGGGACCCGGTGGGAAGTGGTTGAATCATGGGAACGGGTCTTTCCTGTTCTGTTCTCATGATGGTGAATAAGTATCACGAGATCTGATGGTTTTTAAAAAGGGGTGTTTCCCTGCACAAGTTATCTTCTCTTGTCTGCTGCCATGTGAGACGTGCCTTTTACCTTCCACCATGATTGTGAGATCTCCCCAGCCACGTGGAGCTGTAAGTCCATTGAACCTCTTTCTTTTGTAAGTCTCCCAGTCTTGGATATGTCTTTATCAGCAGTGTGAAAATGGACTAATACAACTACTCTTCCATCTGTAAAGAAATGCCTGGTCACACTGGACTGAGGGTCTCCCAGATGCAGTAGCAGCTCAAGGCCATTGCTTGATAACCAGATGCTGGAGAAAAATGCCATAGTGCCCACAGTGACAGCGCATGCAGCCCTCCTGCTAAGGGAGGGCCAGGAGCAGTCAGGGAGAGTGATGGCAGCAGCTGGGGAGAATAGGCAGACAGAAAGCCCTATTAGTGAAGCTGGGCTGGTTCACACACGTGCTCATCAGTCTGGAAGCCCAGGAAGCCAGTGGGAGGAAATCGATGCTCTGTCTTTTGGAGGAGAGGGAGGAAGAAGGAATTGGTGAAAAAAATGATCCTCCACTATTCACTTCAACTTGATTTTCTATGCTATTAAAAATGTTATAGTGACATTAAAGGAGCTTATTTTATTTATTTATTTATTTGAGACAGAGTTTCACTCTGTCACCCAGGCTAGAGTGCAGTGGTGCAATCTCGGTTCACTGCAACTCTGCCTCCCGGGTTCAAGAGATTCTTGTGCCTCAACCTCCCAAGTAGCTGGGACCACAGGCATGCACCAGCATGCCCGGCTAATTTTTGCCCTTTTTTTTTTTTTTTTTTTTAGTAGAGATGGGGTTTCAACATGTTGGCCAGGCCATGGTGAAATAAAAACAATGCCATGATCCTAGCCATTGCTGTTTCTTTGGGACCTGCTCATACTGCCCGTGTGCATGTGCACACACACACACACACACACACACACACACCCACTGACAGCGCTGTGGCCACCACCGTGTTCTCCTTTCCCTGGGCATTCCAGCATCAGCATGCTGGCTGCTCTTCAGTTTTTGTTGTCACTTTCTGCTTTTGCTTCTGCTCTGTGGAGAGCCTGGCCCCAGTTTTCTTATCCTGCCGTCCAGTGGTTGGACACTTGAGCAGCCTGCGGTTATGGCCTGTTATAACACCCACTGCCATGTCCATGCTTGGAGCTCCCTTTTGTTGGTAACACTTTCCTAGGGAAAATTCTATTGGGTAGTGGATGTGAATGATATTGTGGCTCTTGATTTCCCCTGTCCTCTAGCCCAGTTGTTTTAAAAAATAGAAGTGAGTGCCTCCCCAGGAAGGCAAAAGATACCCACTGCAGTACGAGATGAAAACATTAGAAGTTCTATTCAAACTGATTTATGGCCGGGCACAGTGGCTCACCCCTGTAATCCCAACACTTTGGAAGGCTGAGGCCGGTTGGTCACTTGAGGTCAGGAGTTCAAGAGCAGCCTGGCCAACAAGGTAAAACCCCATCTCTACTAAAAATACAAAAATTAGCCAGATATGTTGGCAGGCACCTGTAATCCCAGCTACTTGGTAGGCTGAGGCAAGAGAATCGCTTGAACCTGGGAGGCAGAGGTTGCAGTGAGCCGAGATTGCCCCACTGCACTCCAGCCTTGGCAACAGAAGGAGACTCCATCTCAAAAAAAAAAAATACTGATTTAATTTTATCTTTTAAAGTTTTTTGGTGTATATATATACAGATAGATACAGAATTTCGCTTTTTTGCCCAGGCTGGAGTGAAGTGGCCTGATCTCGGCTCACTGCAACCTCTGCCCACCGGGTTCAAGTGGTTCTCCTGCCTCAGCCTCCCGAGTAGCTGGGATTACAGGCGCCCACAACCACACCCAGCTAATTTTTTTTTTTTTTTTTTTTTCTGGTATTTTTAGTAGAGACAGGGTTTTGCCATGTTGGCCAGGCAGGTCTTGCACTCCTGACCTCAGGTGATCTGCCTGCCTTTGCCTCCCAAAGTGCTGGGATTACAGGCATCAGCCACCATGCCTGGCCTTAAAATTTTGGTTTTTATATATGTTGTATAATATACATAAAGTGTAAGTCAACTAGTACAACATATATATAAAATCTATAAACCATTATTCATATACTGAGGGCTCATGTTTTTTGGATGGGGACATTTGCAAATGCCTCCAGAGGGTGGTCCTGGGCGGTATGGTCACCTAGCACATTCCTGCCTCAGCCACTTGGCCTCCCTTCCCTTCCTGGATACACTTGCAGCTGCAGGAGCTGGACGAAGTAACCCCAAGTGACAAGAACCCACATTTGCCCTTCACTGAGAAAGCGCCAGAGAGAAAAGAAGTACCTTTTTTTCAAAGTATCCTCAGTTCCTTTCCAGAATGAAGTAGAAATAGAGCTGAGGGGACAAAGGAGGGGTCCAGCCTCATGCTTGAGGTGTGGGGACACGGAGAACCCTCGGCCCTTTTGGTGGCTGGGTGGTCTTTCTCCCGGTGAAGGCTGGTCCTTGCTGCCCACCCTGGCCCACCTGGGCAGCCCCTGCCCTTTGTGTCTCTCTCCCCACAGCTTGTCTTCCCTCCTCAGGCTGTCTGTTGCCCCTTGGTGTTCCTTTCCACATTGTTTTTCCTTTTAGATGTGTATTTCATGTGTGCCAGACAGATTCTCATTCTGTACGAAGCAAAAACCTTTCATCTATTTGTAGTCAATTCAAAGCCAAATCAAGATGCCAGAACTGAAGGATCATTCAGGCTGAGTGTTCAGTCCTTGAGGGGCCCACAGCCCCGGGCGAGCAGAAAGGCACTGTTATTCAGCATTATTTGAAAACCACGAGTTGCCTCGTACCATTTCCTGCACCCCAGTGCTAATGCTTCTGCTGCAGATATGCCACAGTGATCCATTTCCTCTCAGAATGTGGCACGGTGAAGATCCAGTAGCATGTCCTGTGAAAAATTTCATCCATGCCACAGCTGCTGAGGAGTCGACCTCATCCGTGAGTTTTCCTCAGCCCCTGCTACGTATAAAGAACCCGACACGCATGACACGGAGTAAATGTCACAGCTCTGTGACTCTGGCATTTTCCACATTGTTGTAATGCACCCAGGCTACTAAGACTTCACTAAACTGTTTTTTGTTTGTTTTTTGTTTTTCTTGAGATGGAGTCTCACTCTGTTGCTGAGGCTGGAGTACAGTGGATCGATCTCAGCCCACTGCAACCTCCACCTCCCGGGTTCAAGCAATGCTTATGCCACAGCCTCCCGAGTAGCTGGGATTACAGGCGCCCGCCACCACACCTGGCTAATTTTTATATTTTTAGTAGAGACAGTGTTTTGCCATGCTGGCCAGGCTGGTCTCGAACTCCTGACCTCAGGTGATCCGCTCGTCTTGGCCTCCCAAAGTGTTGGGATTACAGGAGTGAGCCACCCCACCTGGCCTACAACTAAACTGTTTAAATTGAACTCCTTTGGCATTTGTGGATCTAAGGTCTGGTGTTTCAAACGACTCAAATGTAAAAACCTCCAGTGGGGTGACCAGGGAGCTGGGCTTTCCCAGGAGGTGGGAGGCCTGACCACAGAAGGTTCTGTGCCTCATGTACAGTTTTTATTTTAATATTTAAAATTTTTTTTTTTGAGACGGAGTTTCGCTGTTGTCACTCAGGCTGGAGTACAGTGGCGTGATCTCGGCTCACTGCAACCTTCACCTCCCGGGTTCAAGCAATTCTCCTGTCTCAGCCTCCCAAGTAGCTGGGATTACAGGCATCCGCCACCATGCCTGGCTAATTTTTTTTTTTTTTTTTTTAGTAGCGATGGGGTTTCACCATGTTGTGCAGGCTGGTCCTGAACTCCTGACCTCAGGTGATCCACCCACCTCGGCCTCCCAAAGTGCTGGGATTACAGACATGAGCCACCACACCCGGCCGATGTTTTTGTTTTTTACATCCACTCATACACATACAAGGGAGTATGGAAGTCATGCTTCTCTCAAAAAGCAGCAGCCCTGCTCCCCCCACCTTCCTCTCTTTCCATCCTGCTCCCCAAGGCAGCCATTCCTGACTTTAGTTAATGCCCTGGTTCATGCCACACACTGAGTCATTTGTCCTGTGGCTCAGGCCCCAGCCTGAGGTGTGTGTGTTTGTGGAGAGACGCAGGAACACCAGCTTGAGAGGGTGATGTGCGATCACAAATGGAATCCTATCTGATATACCTCTGCTTCCTGCAAAGATCCAGGGGATGTGAATGGTGGCCCTGAGTGGACTCAAATGGGCTGACCAGGGAGCCGCATCTGCCCAGTAGGGGAAGGTGGGGGCTGGTGGCAGAGTGAGCCAAGAGAACACTGGGTTTCTAGCAGGAGACAGGAGGTCTGACCACAGGAAGGTTCTGGGCCTCCAGTCTCAACAGGCTTGCAGTGATTGTCCCAGCTGGAGGATGTGGGAAATGTAGAGTTTCCTGATGGACAACCACTCTTTTTGTTTTCAATCCATGTCTTAAAAACCAAAGTCATAGACTCGGCACAGTGGCTCATGCCCATAATCCCAGCACTTTGGGAGGCCGAGGTGGATGGATCACTTGAGGCTAGGAGTTTGAGACCAGCCTGGCCAACAGGGTGAAACCCCATCTCTATAAAAATACAACAGTTAGCCAGGCGTGGTGGTGGGCACCTGTATTCCCAGCTATTTGAGAGGCTGAGGCAGGAGAATCTCTTGAACCCAGGAGGTGGAGGTTGCAGTGAGCCGAGATTACGCCACTGCACTCCAGCCACGGCGGCAGAGTGAGACTCTGTCTCAAAATCAAAAAATCATAACTGGCAAGCAGTAAACTGCCTATAGTGTACAGTCAGATAAGTTTTGACATTTATGCACCCATGAAACCATCACCACAATCAAGATAATGTACACATTCATCATTCCAAATTCTCTTCATGCCCTTTTGTAATTCCTCCTCAGCCCCTTCCACCTCCTGCAGACAACCACTAATCTACTTTCTTGTGTGATCGTTTGCATTTTCTAGGATTTCTTTTTTTTTCTTCACCATCTTGGCCAGGCTGGTCTCGAATTCCTGACCTTAGGTGATCTGCCTCGGCCTCCCAAAGTGCCAGGATTACAGGCGTGAGCCACTGCGCCCGGCTGCATTTTCTAGGATTTCATACAAATGGGATTGTACTGCAAGTACTCTAGTTGGCTTTTGTCACCCAGTGTAACTGTTTTGAAATCCATCTGTGTTGTTGCCTGCGTCACTAGTGTGTTGCTTTTTATTGCTGAGTAGTGTTCCATTGTGTGGACGCACCACAGTGTATTTATCTGTTGCCTGTGGATGGACATTTGAGTTGTTTCCAGGTTCGGCCATAACAGAGCTGCTGTGAACATTTGCATACAAATCTTTCTGTGGACATACACGTTTTTTTATCTTGGGTAAATATTTAGGAATAGAATGGCTGACTCAGGGTACATATATGTTTAACTTTTTAAGAAATTGCCACATCATCTTCGAAAGTGATTACACCATTTGACATTCCCATAAGCAGTGTGACAATGTCCCAGGCTGGGGGACAGAATCAGCCATCCCAGGACAACCCGAGGAAGTGTCAAACACAGGTTCTCCTGATGAGCAATACTTATTTTGCCTTTCAAAAATGATTGTATGTTTTCTCAGACATGACAGTGTCTGTTATGTCCTTTCTGCTTCAAAGAGTAGGGAACCTGTGGCTTTTTTTTTTTTTTTTTTTTTCTGGAGAAAAGGCAAATTATTGTGTATACAGGGAGAATCACAGGGCAATTGCCCAGGAACCTGTGTGCATATGGTCCTATTCATTGGTATCTCGGGGAATTTAGTGAAGGCAGCTCACTGCAGACACAGGATCTTGCCTCTCAGGTTCTGCCTGTTTTCATTCCCCGAAGACATAAAATACCACATCTCAGAGGCAGGGAGTCTCATTCAGAGAGCTTTTTTTTTTTTTTTTTTTTTTTTTTTTTTGGTGACAGAGTCTTGCTCTGTTGCCCAGGCTGGAGTGCAGTGGTGTGATTGCAGCTCACTGCAGCCTCCAAACCTCCACCTCCTGGGTTCAAGCGATTCTCCTGCCTCAGTCCCAAGTAGCTGGGACTACAGGTGTGTGCCACCATGGCCGGCTAATTTTTGTATTTTTAGTTGAGACGGGGTTTCACCATGTTGGCCAGGCTGGTCTCGAATTCCTGATCTCAAGTGATCCACCCACCTTGGCCTCCCAAAGTGCTGGTATTACTGACGTGAGCCACTACGCCAGGCCAGAGAGCATATTTTGTCTAAACATAAATTAATAACTGCAATACCGATAATACTATTGCTTCCCAAATCTGCCTGGTCATGTAAAAGCTTTGCCGTTGGGAATGCTGGCATAAGAACGCAACTTACGGCGATTTCTTAGAAATAGAAAAACCATGACACCTTGATGCAAATGTGCCTCTTCTCAACCTGGCGCTCTTGCTCGCAACATTGCCCCTTGACCCTGGAAGCTTCCTAGGGCAATGCCTAGTTAGGTAAACCAACTGGTGCTGAAGAGGAGAGCTTGGGTCTGGGAAATGCCCATTGTAATCACTTGGGACCGTGTTACTTGAAAGTGGCCTTCAGCATGTATCTGCAGAATGATTGTTTCCTTCCAGGAAGAGGCTTCAGAAGCAGGGATGGCATCTTTACGATTGACGTAGGTTTCTATGGTCCTGTCCTGAGTGGGTAGTTTCATAGAGGCCTCTGTTTTTTAAAATACTGCAGATACAAATCCTAGATTTTCATTCTTAGCACTAGAATGGCATCTCCAGAAACAGATTTATGTATTTGTAGGAATTCACTTAGTGATAAAAGTACCATTCAAATCACTTGGAAAAGAAGGAACCATTCAACAAGTGTGATTTATTTATTTATTTATTAATTTATTTATTATTTTGAGACAGGGTTTCTGTCACCCAAGTTGGAGTGCAGTGGCATGATCACAGCTCACTGTAGCCTTGACCTCCTAGGCCCAAGTGATCCTCTCACCCCAACCTCCTGAGTAGCTGGGACTACAGGCACATGCCACCATGCCTGGCTGATTAAAAAAAAAAAATTTTTTTAAAGACGAGGTCGTGCTATGTTGCCCAGGCTGGTCTCAAAGTCCTGGGCTCAAGTGATCCCACTACCTTGGCCTCTCAAAGTGCTGAGATTACAGGGATGAGTCACCGTGCCCAGTTGACAAGTATGCTTTTAATTGTATCCTTCTGGAATTTGTTTTTCTGCAAGTTGTGAGAAAGGCATCTAATTTTTATGTTTTCTAAAAGTGTATCTGATTTTCTCAATAGCATTTACTCTGATTTTGAATACTCGTCTTCACTGACATTTTATCAATTCCTGTGCCTAATTACTGTAGCTTTATAATATAATTTGACAGCTGGTAGAATAAATCCTCCTCATTTTTTTTTTTTTTGAGATGTGTCTTGCTCTGTCGCCCAGGCTGGAGTGCTGTGGCACAATCTCAGCTCACTGCAACCTCCACCTCTCAGGTTCAAGCGATTCTCCTGTCTCAGCCTCCTGAGTAGGTGGGATTACAGGCATGCACCACCATGTCTGGCTAACTTTTTTCATTTTTAGTAGAAATGAGGTTTCACCACGTAGGCCAGGCTGGTCTTGAACTCCTGACCTCAGGTTATCTGCCCACCTTGGCCTCCCAAAGTGCTGGGATTACAGGTGTGAGCCACTGCACCCAGCCTCCTTTACTGTTCTTTAATTTTTAAAATGTACTGGAGTTTTCTCTTCCATGTAAATGTTAGAATCAGCTTAAGTTGTATTAAAAATACCTCATTGGGATTTTGTTTGGTATTACATTTTAATTGTAGATTTAAACTTTCCTCTGTAACCAATGTAATGTGGGCCCTGTTTTGGAGCAGAGAGTACCTTGCACCCATTAATGCTTAATCTTTCCGGCCCGGCACAGTGGCTTATGCCTGTAATCCCAGCACTTTGGGAGGCCAAGGCAAGTGGATCACCTGAGGTCGGCAGTTTGAGACCAGCCTGGCCAACATGGTGAAACTCCATCTCTACTAAAAAAAAAAATTAGCTGGACATGGTGGCTGGTGCTTGTAATCCCAGCTACTCAGGAAGCTGAGGAAAGAGAATCACTTGAATCCAGGAGGTGGAGGTTGCAGTGAGCCAAGATCGCGCCATTGCACTCCAGTGTGGGTGACAGAGTGAGACTTCGTCTCAAAAAAAAAAAAAAAAACAGGCTTAATCTTTCTGATTTAGAAAGTTTGCTTTCTTGCTAAATTTTATAGAGGTTAGTGATATGATTTGGCTCTATATCCCCACCAAATCTCATCTCAAATTGTAATCCCCACATATCGAGGGAGGGAGCTAGTGGGAGGTGACTGGATCATGGGGGCAGATTTCCCCCCTGCTGTTCCAGTGATAGTGAATGAGTCCTCATGAGATCTGGTTGTTTGATAAGTGTCTGGCACTTCCCTATGCTCCTGCTCTCTCTCTCCTGCTGCCTTGTGAAGAAGGTGCTTCTTTCTCCTTTGCTTTCCACCATGATTATAAGTTTCCTGAGGCCTCCTCAGCCATGCAGAACTGTGAGTCAATTAAACCTCTTTTCTTTATAAATTACCCAGTCTCAGGTAGTATCTTTATAGCAATATGAGAATGGACTAATACAGTTTGTGTGTGTGTGTGTGTGTGTGTGTACAGAAGTCTCGCTGTGTTACCCAGGCTGGAGTGCAATGGCACAATCTCGGCTCACTGCAACCTCCACCTTCCAGGTTCAAGCAATTCTCCTGTCTCAACCTCGAGTAGCTGGGATTACAGGCGTGTGCCACCACACCCAGCTAATTTTTTGTATTTTCAGTAGAGATGGAGTTTCACTATGTTGGCCAGGCTGGTCTCGAACTCCTGACCTCCAGTGATCCACCTGCCTCAGCCTCCCAAAGTGCTGGGATTTCAGGTGTGAACCACTGCACCCAGCCTCAGTTAGTGTATTTTAAGTCAGTTAATATTTACAATAAATATTGACTGTACATCTCTCTGTGCCAGACAGCACTAGGAGGTGAGGAGTCATGGAAAACAAAAATCAATGACACCTGCCAGAGACCCCACTGCCTGCTGTGGGGAGACAGACAAACCAATACAAAATCATGATGCAATGGCCCAATGCTTCACCATGGTGAAAGGCACCTAGCCCAGTTTTGAGGGTCGGGAAGGTTGCCTAGAGGAGGTGATATGTAAGCTGAGATCTAAAGGGTGAGGAGGAATTCACTTGTTGAAGATAGGAGGAGTACAATTGAAAATGAGGCCCAGAGGTTGGGGAGATCCTGGCTGTTCAGAGAGCTAAAGACACCTCATTGGTGGCAGGAGCAGAGGGTGGGGGTGGGGTGGGGTGGGGTGGGGATGCCTCAAGATGAGGCTGGAGAGACTAGCAGGGCAAAACATGCATCAGGAAAGGTGTTTTGTTTTGTTTTGTTTTGTACAGTCTTGCTCTGTTGCCCAGGCTGGAGTGCAATGGTGCAATCTCGGCTCACTGCAACCTCTGCCTCCCAGGTTCAAGCGATTCTCCTGCCTCAGCCTCCCAAGTATCTGGGACTACAGGCACGTGCCACCACACCAGGCTAATTTTTTGTATTTTTAGTAGAGACACGGTTTCACTGTGTTAGCCAGGATGGTCTCGATCTCCTGACCTGGTGATCCGCCTGTCTCGGCCTCCCAAAGTGCTGGGATTACAGGCGTGAGCGACTGTGCCCGGTCAGGAAAGGTCTTACCAGTCAGATTCTCCACCTGTGTTAGTCCGTTCTCACACTGCTAATAAAGACATACCCAAGACTAAGTAATTTATAAAGGAAAGGGGTTTAATAGACTCACAGTTGAGTATGGCTGGGGAGGCCACAGGAAACTTACAGTCATGGCGGAAGGGGAAGGAAACACATTCTTCTTAACATGGCGGCAGGAAGGAGACGAATGGGAGCTAAGAGGAGGGGGAAGCCCCTTATAAAACCGTCAGATCTCGTGATAACTTACTATCACGAGAATAGAATGGTCGGGGCCGGATGCGGTGGCTCACGACTGTAATCTCAGCACTTTGGGAGGCCGAGGCAGGTGGATCATTTGGGGTCAGGAGTTCCAGACCAGCATGACCAACATGGTGAAACCCCATCTCAACTAAAAATACAAAAATTAGGCGGGCATGGTGGTGCATGCCTGTAATCCCAGCGAATCGGGAGGCTGAAGCATGAGAATCACTTGAACCCGGGAGGTGGAGGTTTTGGTGAGCTGAGATCGTGCCACTGCACTCCAGCCTGGGTAACAGAAGGATACTCTGTCTAAAAAGAAAAAAGAAAAAAAAGAATAGCATAGGGGAACTGCCCCCATGATTCAGTTACCTTCCACAGAGTCCCTCCCACCATGGGGATTATGGGATTACAATTGAAGATGAGATTTGGGTGGGGACACAAAGCCAAACCATATCACCACTGGCTCTCGAGTATCAAAAGAACCTTGGAGGGGTGTTAGCTGGAGCCTGGTACTCTCGGAGCAAGGCAGGACAGTGGCCGAGGGGCCCGTGGGTCTTAGTGACAGACGGTAGTGTCGGAGGGTCTTGACAGTGGGAAAGGACAGAAGCATGGAGACTGAGAGCGCTTCAGTAGGCAGAGCCAAGCTCCATGTCTGGGCTTAACTGAACAGGACTGGGGTCTCAATCATGTCATTTACCAGCCATGTAACCTAGAACAAATAACCTCCCCCATCTTCAGTTCCTTTATTTGAAAACTAGGGCTGTTGTGAGGATGTGTGAAGTGTCAGCGCCATACCTGGTCCATATGGCCTCAGTACAAGTGACAGTGATGGTGATGGTGGGGACAGTTTGATCAGCTGCAAAGCGTCTTCTCCTGCTGAGTAGGAAGAGGAAGAGGACGGGAGTGCTACCATATCCTTTTATATACAGTTTCCCCAGTGCCATGTTAATCATTCTGCAGTTGCTGCCAAAGCAACACAGAATCCTACCCAGTTCCCATGGAAGATTTTCCTCCAAGGAGAATCCAGCAGTAGAGAGAGGCCAGCCATTTGCAACGTGGGGAGCTTTCACTCAGAGCCCTCAGTCAAACAGCCAGAATGAGCTCTGGGGCAGCTGACAGACCAGCCAAGGCCTCTCATATGATTTAATCTGACAGATACAAAAAGGAGCACAAAATGATTTTGCTGTGGCCTAGACATGCAGAGCTCCCACAATTACATGTGTCCTTTCATGAAAAATTAGATTATCACCGTAGCTCCAGCATAATGAGTCTCTAATGCCAAGGACTGTGTTAATTAATAAGTTGTACATGTTGACTTTTAAGTCAGGGCATCTTGGAGGGTGAACAATTTTATTTATTTATTTATTTTTGAGATGGAGTCTTGCTCTGTCACCCAGGCTGGAGTGCAGTGGCACCATCTCAGCTCACTGCAACCTCTGCCTCCCGGGTTCAAGCGATTCTCCTGCCTCAGCCTTCCGAGTAGCTGGGATTACAGGCGCCTGCCACCACACCCGGCTAATTTTTGTGTTTTTAGTAGAGTTGGGGTTTCGCCATGTTGGCCAGACTAGTCTCAAACTCCTGACCTCAGGTGATCCGCCCATCTCAGCCTCGCAAAGTGCTGAGATTACAAGCGTGAGCCACCACACCTGGCCAAACAATTTATTTTTAATAGCTTTGGAGAAATCTACATGTGATGACATGAAAGGGCAAAAAAATTACTCGGCATTAGCCCATTTATAGTATGTCTGGAGAGTCAGTTGACCATCTCGGAGACCATGTCCCTGCAGGAACAGATGAATAGGAAATGCTTGCTCCTGGTGCTGAGTGGTGAAAGTTTTGTTGCATCCTCTTAGAAGAACTTCAGTGCTCAACGGCTCTCAGAGGCTTCACTGTGTTGTCTCTGAGATGCAGCCTCGAGGTTGTAGGAGAGAGGATCTGGGAAGAAGTCCAACCTTGACAAGAGAGAGGGGGCCTGAATCTGGCAAGCAAGTGGGGGCCACATTCTCTGGGCATTCAGAAGCCAGGATTTCATAGGCCATGAAATCTGCTGTCTTTTAGAAGTGGGCTCCGGTCTGCTTTCTCTACACAAGTTCAAATTTTCCACCATTTCCAGGAGCCTGCAGCTAACACAAGTGAATGAGTGATTTCCTCGTCATTGACCCCATAAACTCAGATACTTGTAAAAGAGAAGTTAACTTACAGAGCATATAAAAATCAGAAAAAAACGGGAAGAGCCTACGGACAGTCCGGTACAGCTGTGTATGGATCACCCATTGGAACAAGCATTTCTTTAGGCTTCCAAGGCTGTTGGAGGACCCTAAGAGGGAAGAAAATGGTTTAGCTGGAGATGGTTTGGGTGCAGACTTTCCAGAAGGCAGTACCAGTGACCAGAAGGTGGACAGACTTCAATTCCAGCCCCAAGAGCACAGGCAGGGAGAAATGCTCTCTAAGAAGGAGGGTCTGCCCTTGAGATTCTTTGTCTGCAACAGCTTTGCATCTTCCACCAGTAAAAACTTTGTTCCCATTTTAGATCACAGTTTAATTTTATTTTGTGCCATGCTCTTTGAGGGTAAGAGGAATGTGAATCTCGGTGAAAACATGTGTTGTTTCTTGTGTACCCCTCTATACATGTGACAATGGCTATCATCTGAAAGAAGCAATGTGCAAGGGGAGAGGGTGACCCCATCTCCGTGCTACAAGGTGACTGGGCTGCAGAAGGAGGATGCAGCCCCTTGGGTCAGCAGATGGGTTTTGTTGGAGTGGCCCATTGGGTGTGGGTGTCTTGGGCTGGAGGTGATGTGGATGACGCACAGGGCTTATTCTTTGTGCCCTCTCAAGCTTCACCTTTGGCCCTGGCCTACAGGGATTCCGGGTTCAGGAAAGACTTTGAATCTGCAGCCACATGAAAATACATGGCACTGCTGTGGACCCACTTTTTAAGGAGGGGGGGGCGGGGAAAGCATAGAAAAGATTTGACAGCTTGAAACTACATCAGCCAGTTTGTAGAGGTTTTGGCCACTCTTCTAGTTTCCATACACATGATCCGTGATGGATTTGGAGGGGCATGGGAAAGAGGACAAAGCCAGAGGCTCCTCATTAGTCTTGGGAATTCAAGGAGACTTCAGTTTGGTAGCTGCACTTGGAGAGATTGTGTGTGTGCGCACACACATGTGGTTGCTCCAAGGCAGTTTCTACTGCTGCTTGCTCATGTGTCTGTAGCTTCCAGGCAGTTTTTCAGCAAGACTGTAAGCCAGATGCAAAAGCAAACCTGAAGAGATATGTCAAACTGCATTAAAAAAAAAAAAAAAAAGAGGGAGCATACTTTATAGGTTAAAGGAAATTTTTTTGATATGTGGTAATTTACTGAGAATCCACTGACAAATGTGGTTAAGGGTCATTTCAGGACCAATAAGCTTTTGGATGAACAATTTAAAAATCCGTTAAGGGATATTCCTTCCCGTATCTCTATGTTTGCTTCATCGAATCACGTGGTTGCCCTGAAGGGGAAATAGGATTCATTTGTTGGTTTTTAAATTCCTTGCTTGGAAGGATTTGGACAGTCAAGGCCAATGTGATCCCTGTTTCAAACTTCTCTTTTTATTTTTCTTTCATTTTTTATTTATTTATTTATTTTTGAGACAGAGTTTCTCTCTTGTTTTGTCACCCAGGCTGGAGTGCAGTGGTGTGATCTCGGCTCACGGCAACTTCCGCCTCCTGGGTTCAAATGATTCTCCTGCCTCAGCCTCCCAAGTAGCTGAGTGCCCACCACCATGCCCAGCTAATTTTGTATTTTTAGAAGAGACGGGGTTTCACCATGTTGGCCATGATCTTGAACTCCTGACCTCATGTGATCCACCCGCCTAGGCCTCCCACACTGTTGGGATTACAGGTGTGAGCCACCATGCCCAGCCAACACATCTCTTTTTCAGGCTGCAGGAGCTTATATATTGGGGGATTCTTCTTTTTTTTTTTTTTTTTTTTTTTTTGACAGAGTCTGGCTCTGTCATCCAGGCTGGAGTGCAGTTGTGTGATCTCGGCTCACTGCAACCTCCACCTCCCAGGTTCAAGCGATTCTTGTGCCTCAGCTTCCCGAGTAGCTGGGATTACAGGCGTGTGCCCCCAAACCTGGCTAATTTTTGTGTTTTTAGTAGAGACACAGTTTCACCATGTTGGCCAGGCTGGTCTCAAACTCCTGACCTGAAGTGATCCGCCCGCCTCGGCCTCCCAAAGTGCTGGGATTACAGGCGAGAGCCACCGTGCCCCGCTCATATTGGGGCATTCTAAATAAAATCAGTCCTGTCTCTTTAATGTATCCGTGCCACAGTTTTGTGAAATACATTGTCAATCTTAATTCTGCTTTGCGGATAGAGAAAAATGAATTGTTGAATGGAAGAGTGTCTTAGCTAGGAAGAGCTGCAAGATAGGAAGGTCATCATCATCTCTCAGGGCTAGACCCAGGCCAGTGGGGATTTCAGGAGCCTTTATAATAAATGGTTTAAGAACCCTCTTATTCTGCCCCCACATCAGTGGGTATACAGATTATTATCACTCAATGGGTATATAGATAAGTATTACCAAATATATAGAGTCAGAGAGATTATGATAAAATATCATAATCAAAACAGGAAAAAACAAAGTATTTAGGAACCGCATACAGAAGTTTCAATCAGGCCAGGTGCAGTGGCTCATGCCTGTAATCCCAGCACTTTGGGAGGCTGAGATGGGTGGATCACTGGAGGTCAGGAGTTCAAGATCAGCCTAGCCAACATGGTGAAACCCCGTTTCTACTAAAAATACGAAACATTAGCCAGGTGTGGTGGCACATGCCTGTAATCCCACCTACTCAGGAGGCTAAGGCAGGAGAATTGCTTGAACTCGGGAGGTGGAGCTTGCAGTGAATTGAGATCGCACCACTGCACTCCAGCCTGGGCGACAGAGCGAGACTCTACTGTCTCAAAAAAAAAAAAAGAATTATCAATCACTATGGTTTGCATGATAAGAAATAGTTTATGAATACAAGTATTTTTTTCATCCACCATCTGCAGTATTGTTTACAGAAGAAACTGAGGTTATAAACCTTCCTGTAAATGCTTCCTGCAGACATCTACTTACAGGCCCACGGGTAAAAAGTTTGCATTTATACTTTTTAATGAATAGTCTCTTTAGGGTTTAATTAGTCATTGTGTCTATGCATGAATCATTCATAATCTGGTCTTGCCACCAGCATATGGCAATTAAAGTCAGATGAATAGAAGTAATATTCTCAAGCAAAATGAACTGTACTCTTCGGCCAATTATCATTGGTTGGCAACATGTTTTATAGAGATAAAAGTTGATTGGCAGCTCTTACAAGTTTTGGTTTGTCTTGTCTCTTCGGGAGAAAGTGAACCCTATGAAAAGCACAAGCCTCCGGTCTTCCACACCAGCACTGTGAGGGCCACAGTCTCTCATATTCCCCAGCCAGCCTAACACTGGGGAGGTGGTCTGAGCTCATGTGAGTAATGTTAATAATCACCACTATGTGTGCCTACTGTGTGCCTGGCATGTTTACATGCATTATGGGTCATCTTCCAAGTGACTTGTCCACAATCACTGAGTTAGTAAATGGCAGAGCCTGGATTTTAATCCAAGACTATCTGATTCCAGGTTTTCTGCTCCATCCAGTCCACCACATTGTCTCAAAACTGAAGATAAGAGTAAATTAGATTGTAGTTCAGCTAAAAGGTTGACTTGAAAAAGGATTTAGGAGCCGGGTGCGGTGGCTCACGCCTGTAATCCCAACACTTTGGGAGGCTAAGGTGGGCGGATCACTTGAGGTCAGGAGTTCAAGACCAGCCTGGTCAACATGGTGAAAACCCATCTCTACTAAAAATACAAAAACTAGCCAGGTGTGGTGGCAGGTGCCTGTAATCCCAGCTACTCAGGAGGCTGAGGCAGGAGAATCACTTGAACTCAGGAGGTGGAGGTTGCAGTGAGCTGAGATCACACCACTGCACTCCAGCCTGGGAAAAAAGAGGATTTAGGTCTGGGTACACTGGTTCACACCAGTAATCCCAGCACTTTGGGAGGCTGAGGCTGGACGATTGCTTGAGGACAGGAGTTCAAGACCAACCTGGGTAACAAACATCTCTACAAAAAAACTAGGCTGTGCACGGTGACTCATGCCTGTAATCCCAACACTTTGGGAGGCCAAGGTGGGAGGATCACTTGAGCTTACCAGTTCAAGACCAGCCTGGGCAACATGACAAAACCCCATCTCTGCAAAAAAATACAAAAATTAACTAGGCATGGTGGTATGCTCCTATAGTCCCAGAGCCAGACCTTGTCTCAAAAAATAAAAAAATAAAAAATTAGACCCACGTGGTGGTGCACACCTATAGTCCTAGTCATTTGGGAGGCTGAGCCCAGGAGTTTGAGGCTGCAGTGAGCTATGGTTGCACCACTGCATTCCAGTCTGGACTACAGAGTAAGACCCTATCTCTAAGAAAAAGTGGTCTAAGTTGTACACCCATGTTCATACAGCATTATTCACAGTAGCCCAAAGGTGGATGCAACCCAAGTGTTCATTTATGATGAATGGATAAACAAAATGTGGTACATCCATACACTGGAATATTATTCAGCTTTTAAAAGGAAGGAAATTCTGACACATGCCATAACATGGACATCCTTCTATCTCATTTTTAAAATTATTAAGCAAGCACTTAAAAATTACTTCAAGCCAGGCATGGTGGCTCACGCCTATAATCCAAGCACTTTGGGAGGCCAAGGCAGGAAGATCACTTGAGCCCAGGAGTTCAAGACCAGCCTGGGCAACATAGTGAGACCTGGTCTCTAAAAAAAATGTTTTTTAATAATTTAAAAAATAAATAAAATTATCTTATTCTCTCCTCCTCTATTCATTTTTTTTTTTTTTTTTGAGACGGAGTCTCACTCTGTCGCCTAGGCTGGGGTGCAGTGGCACGATCTCGACTCATTGCAACCTCCGCCTCCCGGTGGGTTCCAGTGATTCTCCTGCCTCAGCCTCCTGAGTAGCTGAGATGACAGGCGCCCGACATCATGTCCGACTAATTTTTATATTTTTAGTAGAGACAGGGTTTCACCATGTTGGTCAGGCTGGTCTTGAACTCCTGACCTCGAGTGATCCGCCCGCCTCAGCCTCCCAAAGTGCTGGGATTACAGGCGTGAGCCACCACGCCCACCCTGTACCTTCTTTTTTTAATGAAGGAGATTATAATATGAATATTTGATATATTATAATCTACTTTAAGTTATTAATTTGCTACTTCCCAGACAATTTAAGAAGCTAACAACAGTTAAATATCTTCCAGGAGGCTGAGGTGGAAGGATCACCTAAACCCGGGAGGTGGAAGTTGCAGTGAGCCGAGATTGCATCACTGCACTCCAGCCTGGGCAACACAGTGAGACCGTCTCAAAAAAAAAAAATTCCCGTTACTTTTCGTATTATTGTTATTTTATGTTTTATTCATACATGTATACATTCCACAAAGCATAATTGTTATTGTTTTAAGCAATCAATATTTATATAACTACTTTTTTTTTTTTTTGAGACAGAGTCTCGCTCTGTCACCCAGGCTGGAGTGCAGTGGCGCAATCTCTGCTCACTGCAACCTCCACCTCCCAGTTCAAGTGATTCCCCTGCCTCAGCCTCCCAAGTAGCTGGGACTACAGGTACACACCACTGCACCCAGGTGATGTTTTAAATTTTTTTGTAGAGATGGGATCTCATCGTCTTCCCAGGCTGGTCTTGAGCACCTGAGCTCAAGTAATCCTCCTGCCTCAGCCTCCCAAAGTGCTGGGGTTACAGGTGTAAGCCACTGGGCCTGACCTAAGATTTTCTATCTTTGGTCTTCAGGGCTTTGACTATGATGTGTATAGGTAAGATTTTGTTTTGTTTCTCCTTTTTGGGTCTCATTGAGCTTCTTGAATCTGTGGGTTAATGTCTTTCACCATATTTGGGAAAAATTCATCACCTTTATTTCGTCCAAAACTGCTTCTGAACCTGTTCTCTCTTCTCTCTTCCTCTTATGGGACACAAATTACATGTATATTAGACTTTTTGAACCACATGTCTTTATGCACTCTTCTATCTTTTCCATTCTTTTTATCCATTCTGCCGTTAAACCTATCCAATGCATTTTTTTTTTTTTTTTTTGAGATGGAGTTTCACTCTTGTTGCCCAGGCTGTAGTGCAATGGTATGATCTCGGCTCACCACAACCTCCGCCTCCCAGGTTCAAGCAATTCTCCTGTCTCAGCCTCCCAAGTAGCTGGGATTACAGGCATGCGCCACCACGCCCAGCTAATTTTGTATTTTTAGTAGAGATGGGGTTTCTCCATGTTGGTCAGGCTGATCTCAAACTCCCGACCTCAGGTGATCCGCCTGCCTTGGCCTCCCAAAGTGCTGGGATTACAGGCATGAGCCACCCTGCCCAGCCTCCAGTGCATTCTTAGCTTCAGATATGTTTTTAAATCTTGGAATGTCTATTTGATTATTTGTATAGATTTCCAATTCTGTTGAAATGCTCCATGTATTCATCCATTTTGTCCTTTATCTTTCCTTTTTTAAAAACTTATTAACCATAATTATTTTCAAGTTGGCTCCTTGCCAGTCAAGCTGCTTTGAACACCCTAGATATGCCAAGTGGTTTCTCTCACTGGTTCTTGACATTTCAGCCATCTGTATTTTTGAAAGTTTACATTTCTCTTCTGTAGTATTTTCTCTGATTGCCCTAACTGCCATGGGCTTCATGCAAGGAAGGCATTGAGTCTTTGAGAACTTCCTAGGATCTAGGAGGAGAGTCACACAAGGCCCTGGCTTTATGTGGATATAGCTTCTTGGTGACTGCTGAGGGAAATGCTGATCTCCTGGGCTGGATCGACCTCACTGAGGGCCCCTTGGTTAACCAAGGACACAAGGATGATGCTCAGGGTTGAATTTGTTTTTCTTGCTTTTACTCCTTATGAATCTCAAGTTTTAGAACATTGTAAACATAAATATATTTACAAGGGAAATAATTTTGATATTAAACTCTACTACCCTATGTTATTTTAAATTATCTTCTATTCTTTGTTAATATATGTGCTTTAGATAAGAACCATTGGGTTTAATTTTTTTTAATTATTTATTTATTTATTTATTTGAAACAGGTTCTTACTCTGTCGCCCAGGCTGGAGTGCAGTGATACGATCTCAGTTTACTGCAACCTCCACCTCCCAGGTTCAAGAGATTTTCATGTCTCAGCCTCCCTAGTAGCTGGGATTACAGGCTCATGCCACCAAGCCCAGCTAATTTTTATATTTTTAGTAGAGACAGGGGGGTTCACCATGTTGACCAGGTTGGTCTCGAACTCCTGACCTCAAGTGATCCACCCACCTTAGCCTCCCAAAGTGCTGGGATTACAGGCGTGAGCCACGGCACCCAGCCAAAATTTGTTTTTGTTGTAGCAAAATACACATATCATAACGTTTACCATATTAACCACTTTTAAGTGTAATGTTCAGTGGCATTAAATATATTAGTGTTGTTGTGCATCCATGACCAGCAATAATCCACCTATCCATCTCCTGAACTCCTTTCATTTTCCAAAACTCTTGACCCATGAAACAGTAACTCCCCATTCCTCACTCCCTTTAGCCCCTGGCTCCCACCATTCTACTTTCTGTCTGTTTGGATTTGACTATTCTAGGTACCTCATATAAGTGGAATCATATGGTATTTATCTTTTTGTGTCTGATCTATTTCCCTTAGCATAATGTCTTCCAGGTTTTTCCATGCTGTAGCATATGATAGAATTTCCTTCCTTTTTAAGGCTAACCAGTATTCCACTGTATGGATAGACTACATTTTGTGTCTTCCATGTTTTAGCTATTGTGAGCAATGCTGCTATGTTTATTTATTTATTATTTTATTTTTTTTGAGACAAAGTCTCCGCCCTGTCACCCAGGCTGGAGTGCAGTGGCACAATCTTGGCTCACTGCAAACTCCGCCTCCTGGCTTCAAGCGATTCTCCTGCCTCAGCCTCTCGAGTAGCTGGGATTACAGGCATGTGCCACCACACCCAGTTAATTTTTTGTATCTTTAGTAGAGACGGGGTTTCACCATGTTGGCCAGGCTGGTCTCAAACTCCTGACCTCGCGATCAGCCCACCTCGGCCTCCCAAAGTGCTGGGATTATAATCGTGAGCCACCACACCTGGCCCTATTTATTTTTATTTAACTAATTTTTTTTTTTTTTTAGACAGGCTCTCACCCAGGCTGGAGTGCAGTGGCACAATCAAGGCTCACTGCAGCCTCAACCTCCCGGGTTCAGGTGATTCTCCCACCTCAGCCTCCTGAGTAACTAGGACTACAGGCGCCAGCCACCATGCCTGGCTAATCTTTGTACTTTTCGTAGAGAGATGGGGTTTTGCCATGTTGCCCAGACTGGTCTCAAACTCCTGAGCTCAAGCAATCCACCCACCTTGGTCTCCCAAAGTGCTAGGATTACAGGTGTGAGCCACCATACCCAGCCAATGCTGCTATGGATATTGGTGTACACGTATCTCTTTGAGACCCTGGTATATGCCCAGAAGTGGAATTGCTGGGTCATAATAATAATCCTATTTTTAATATTTTGAGGAACCTCCACCCTATTTTCCACAGCAGCTGCTCAACCATTTTATATTCCCACCAACGCTGAGTTTTAAATTCTCCACATCCTTGCCAACACTTGTTATTTTCAGTTTTTTAGATGGTAGCCGTCCTAGTGGGTGTAAGGTGGTATCTCATTGTGCTTTTGATTTGCATTTTCCTAATGATTAATGAAGCCAAGCATCTTTTCATGTACGTATTGGCCATTTGTGTATCTTCTTTGGATAAATGTCTACTAAAGTCCTTTGCCCATTTTTGAATCGGATTGGGTTTTTTGTTGTTGAGTTTTAGGAGTTCTGTATTCTGTATATTAATCCCTTACCATATATATGATTTGCAAATATTTTCTCACATCCTGTGGTTTTGTTTTTACTCTGTTGATAGTGTCCTTGGAGGCATAAATTTTTTAATTTTCACGAAGTCCATTTTGTCTATTTTTGTTATCGTCTGTACCTTTGGTATCATACCCAAGAAATGTTTGCCAATTCCAATGTTGTGAAGCTTTTGCACTAAGGTTTTGCTTATAACTGTTTTATAGTTTCAGCTCTCACATTTCAGTCTTTGATCCTTTTGAGTTAATTTCTGTATATGGTGTTAGGTAAAGGTTTGATTTCATTCTTCAGTATGTGGATACACACTTTTCACAGCAACATTTGTTGAAAAGACTATTTTTTACCTACTGAATGGTCTTGGCACACTTGTCAGAAGTCATTTGATCAGCTGGGCATGGTGGCTCACACCTGTAATCCCAGCACTTTGGGAGGCCAAGGCAGGCAGATCACCTGAGGTCAGGAGTTCAAGACCAGCCTGGCCAACATGGTGAAACCTTGTCTGTACTAAAAAATACAAACTTTAGCTGGGCATGGTGGCACACGTCTGTAGTCCCAGCTACTTGAGAGGCTGAGGTGGAACAATCATTTGAACCCAGGAGGCGGAGGTTTCAGTGAGTTGAGATTGTGCCATTGCACTCCAGCCTGGGTGACAGAGTGAGACTCTGTCTCAAAAAAAAAAAAAAAAGAAATTATTTGACTATACATGCAAAGGTTTCCTTCCTTCCTTCCTTCCTTCCTTCCTTCCTTCCTTCCTTCCTTCCTTCCTTCCTTTCTTTCTCTTTTGAGATAGGGTCTCACTGTGTCGCCCAGGCTGGAGTGCAGCGGTGCAATCTCAGCTCACTGCAGCCTCTGCCTCCCAGGTTGAGGCCATCCTCCTGCCTCAGCCTCCCAAGTAGCTGGGACTACAGGCGCCCACCACCACACCCAGCTAATTTTTGTATTTTTAATAGAGACAGGGTCTCACCATGTCTTGGTCTTCGAGACCAAGCTGGTCTTGAAAAACCCCTGGCCTCAAGTGATCTGCCCGGCTTGGCCTCCCAAAGTGCTGGGATTACAGGCGTGAGCCGCCACGCCCAGCCTGCAAGGGTTTGTTTCTGAAGAGCCATTGGAGTTTTAGGGCTGAAAGATACTGCAGGCAGTAGTTAATTCAATGCCTTCTTATTACAGATGAGGAAACTGAGGCCCAAAGACAAAGGGCAACTTGCCCTGGGTTTCGTAGTGACAGAGCTGAAAGTACATCCTAGGCCTGACTCCACATCTGATGCTTTTAAAAGCTAGTTGTTAGTTTGCTTTGCTCCTAGAAGAGTGTTATCTCAGTTACTATTTCGATAGAAGTGGCAAATGCCTTTTTCATTCTGCAGAAAATGTGTGTGGCTTACCCATCCTCTTCACCACTCCTGTGGAGCAGTCCATCACTGGCAGCTCCTGTATTTTGAAGCATTACTGTGGCAAGAATAGGCCACCTGTTTTGTGGGTTTCTATTTGCCCTGACATTTAGTTTGCAGAGTTTGAAAGGGTCCTGAATATAGCTATGTAATAACCTACTACAGAATGCCTTCCCAGTGCACATTTGTCTTTATTGCCTACAGCAAGGAACTTGATCTTTGAAATTTTTAGCAACCTAGAGCCTCTTTCCGTCATGCCTACCAGTAAGACAGACCTGGGCTAGGCTACCGTCCCAAGGGTTGTCTTGGCAGAGGCTGGGTTGGGGGTGAGAATAGGGGCAACGGGGAATATGAATTAGACAAAATTCCAAAGCAGATTTAAAATTATGCCATTCTTGGTATTTCCTGGCTGGGTTTGCTCATTCAAGAGCTATTAAGCCCCTCTTAGTGGTATTGTGGACACTTTGCTGGGAGCTGACAGGCCCCTCACAAAACCAGAAGGCAAGAACTCATAGATTTTCTGGAGGAGCTTACGAGAGGGGGCAGGGACCCAGGGAAGAGGCTGCCATGTGGGACCAAGGAGAGAGGAGGAGGGCTGGGTCCAGGCCTCCCGAAGTGTCAGAAGGAAATGGTGAGCCAAGGAAGCACTGGTGGAACCTGGGGCAGGCTGGCTGGTTGTGAGGGAGGAGGAAGGCATGAGCCATGGACATGCTTCTGTCTTCAGAGAACACCTGAGAGAGCAAAGCACAGCTGGGCTGGGAGGGCGGACGGGGGATTTGCTTTAGATTTGACAGCAACATTGGTGATACAGGTGGCATTCCAGGCAGGTTGGGGGTGGTTTACTCATTGTCAGCAGCAATGGAAGTCACAGTCCGCCTGCCAGAATGAGCATGTGTAGTGGCAAGGTCAAAGAGTAGGGCCGGAGCCGTGGGGCAGAAGGTAGAAGACAACCTGGGGCAGTAGTGTCTTCCGGCCTTTGTGTGTGAGAATCAGTGGTATGTATTCCAGTTCTTTGGCTTTTCCAGAACCCAGAAAAGAATGGAGTAACTGAACTGTGATTTAAAATCTTGCTGTGTGGCTTGGGTTGTTTGTGTTGGTTCCAAACCCTGAATCTTTTGGGGTCTTCAATTTGTGGGCATGTCAGTGGAAATTCTAAGCTTTGTTTTAATGGTGTGTGTGTGTCTGTCTGTCTCTGTGTGAGTGTGTTTAGAAATTGGCTTCTCTGGGTTCCTCGCTCGTCTTCTGGAAGGTGGGGTTATAGACATGCTGGTGAATTCTGAATGTTTTATAAATTAGACTATTAACGGAGTTAAATTGAAGAAACCTTCTGTCATAAGACCTTCCAGGAATTCCATTCCAAATGAGGAAATGCATAAAGACTTGTCCACTTGGCAAACATTGGGTGTTTGGGAGGTGATTGTGTACCCTGTCCCCACATTTAATACCTGCAACCATTGCAACAGGAAGCCCATGTAACCTGGTGCTCGTGATTACTGATTTGTTTCTTGTCATTGAGTTTTGACAGTATGTTACTTAATAAAAAAGAGAAGAAAGAAAAATAAGCTCTTGGAAGTAATTTTCAAGTAGAGGTAGTGGTTTTGTTTATTTTTTTAAGGTACCATATGTGGCATGTGCTTCCTTTCTTTGATGTGAAATCTGAAGGAACCCTTGCCTCCTTCCTAGCACACTTCCTAAATGATAAATGCCCACTCCTGTTCCACCTATGCCCTTCATAAATGTTTTGGCTCCATGATCTTTTTGTAGCAGCCGTGGTCAGTGAATGTTTGAGCAGAGTCTTCTATGCCTGCTTGGACAGCAATTATTAACCTCAACTTGAATGCATTCTATTCGATCTTTCTCCTTCAAAGCGGGAGCTCACCAAATGGTAAAAATCAAGGTGTCTTTGGATTTGAATTAATGTGGCATTAAAAAGTTGTGGTTGCTTTAAAAAGAATTAGGCAGGGCTGGGGCGGTGGCTTATACCTGTAATCTCAGTGCTTTGGGGAGGCTGAGACAGCAGAGTCACTTGAGGCCAGGAGTTTGAGAACAGCTTGGACAACACAGCAAGACCCCATTTCAACAACAACAAAAAAAAATCCTAGCTAGATATGGTGGTGCACACTTGTGGACCTAGCTATTTAGGAGGTTGAGGTAGGAGGATCACTTGAGCCCAGGAGTTCCAGGCTGCAGTGAGCTATGATCATGTCACTGAACTCCAGCCTGGGCAACAGAGCAAGACCCTGTCTGTACATAAATAGAATGAATGAATGAATGAATGACAGGAGTTTCCTATTTAGTTCCGTGAAGGTAGGGTATCCTCATCTTGGACTCCAGAAAGGCGTGAGGGAGGCCATGAAGTAGGCAGAGCCTGGAACCAGAAGGAGCCCCACCCCACCCTCATGTTTCAGAGGAGAAACTGAGGCTCAGGTGGCCTGGGTCATGTTGCTGGTCTGTGGCAGAAGCCAAGTCAGAATCAATGACCCCCCAGGGACTTTCCTGGCTGGGGAGGAGGAGGCGTGGGAGGGATTTGAATAGAATGTGGAAGCGGTTCTGCGAGATGTCATCAGGCTCTAGCAGTCCCGTCTGTTGGTTGGTGCTGGGAGAGGGAATTGGATTCCAAGTGGGGATGGGACCGCATCTCCCCTAGTTCCCGAGATAGACTCGCCTGTAACTGGATCACTCCTTGCAACCTCGGGTAGCGTGTGACTGGAGAAATGAGGGCTGGAGCCGTGGACCATCCGAGGGCCCCTCCCCTGCTGGGTCCAGGCAAAGGGCCGGCCCTCTCCAGCCTCGATTGGGGCGCGATAGCGCCCTTAGTGTCGTGTCGGGTTCCAGGCCACGCTCGGGCATTTTAAGAGGCTGAGGTGCGCCTTCCGCTGCCCGCCTGCGTCCCGCCACGGAGAGCTCGCCTTTATCTAGCCCTCTGGGCGAGAGAAGAAGGCTAATCCCAGCCTGGGACAAGGCTGGCTGAGGCGTGCCGGATCCTCCGGGGACCGATCGGTGGCCTCGCGCGGCTCTCATCGCTCTCCGAGCAGTGCTCCAGGGGGCGGAGGGAGCCTCCTCGGGCGGTGGGGAGGAGGCTGGAGGAATGAGGACGCAGCACGGCGCGCCCTTGCAGCGCTCAGGCTGACGGGCGGGCGGGCGGAGCGGGCGCACGGCTCCTCTAGGTCCGGCTGCTCTCTGAGCTCGCGGGCTGGACGCTGTCCGCGGTGCTGAAGCGGCGCCCGCGGCAGGGAGGCGGACCCGGAGCCGCCGGGCAGCACACACCCAATCCCGGGACCGCCCTCCTCCCAGGCTCGGAGAGGCGGTGGCAGCCGGCACTGCACCCAGATGGACTGAGAGCGCGGCGGCGGGAAGGCGGCGGCGGCGGCGGCAGCAGCAGCAGCTGCAAGAGCCCTCGCAGCCTCGGGGCAGGACCCACGTCCACACCCGAGAGCCCCTCCCTGGGGTGAGTCAGGGCGGGCGGAAGAGGGATGGGGTGGACGGGTCCTGGGGCATGGGATCTCTTGGGCTTTAAAATTTCCCTTCCCCGTTGTAAATTTCTTCCAGCCCAGATCTTGAGCAGCTTTCAGGGCTGAGGGCTCAGAGCTATGCCTCAGCACTTTCCCAGTCCTGGGATAGAGGGCAGGCCCCTCTGCCCTCACAAGCCAGGGGACAAAGGGTTTAGCCAGAAGCCAGACAGTCACAAGGCATGTCCTCCTCTCCACCTTGGGTGCAGCCCACAACAAGGTACCAGGAAAAGCTGTTTGCCCAGGCTGGTGCCACAGGGGGGACAGCTTCCCGTCTCTGGTCTCTGTTCAGAGGCCTGGCCCCGAGCAACCTAGCCACTGGAATTCAGCCCAGACAGAGGCCAGCCATCTTTTAGCAGGGGAAGGCAAGCTTCAGCCTTCACTGGGGCTACAAGCGAGAAGTAGAGCCCTTTCCCTGCCTCCTTCCAGTCTCCGTAGGCACCTGAGCTGCCATGATCAGGGCTTCGGGGCGAGGGTCACTTCAGTGCACCTGGCTGTTATAAGTGAGCTGGACTCAGGCAGAGGAGCTCTGGAGTGGATACTGGGCAGGCACTGCCTGCCAGTGGGGTGTGTGTGTGTGTATGTGTGTGTGTGGTGTTCCCAGCAAGCAAAAGGGATTTTAAACTCCAGTGGTGCCTGTCACAGGAAAAGCCCTTCTCCAGCCAGCCTGTGCCTCTGAGTAAGCAGTTCAGGGTCACGCTGGGCAACTACCCAGCCAGAGGAGCTCTGGGCTTCCTCAGCCCCTACAGCTGCCCCCCTTCTGCCTTGAGCCATCTACTGAAGGGGGAGATGTGTTTAAACTTGATGGGTCACCTCTGCCTTCGACCCTACCAGCATTCGGTTCCCATCTCCATCACCTGGCAAGGTCAGACAGATAGATGTGTTAACTCCTAGAACTGGATGGGTGGGCTTCTGGGGGGCTTTACTGCCTAGGCAAAAGGGATTTGGTGTGTTGGGGAGGAGAGGGAGTGGAGAGGGGAGGTGGAATTAGTGGGACCATCCTCCAGAGCCCTGGAGATGTCTAGTTGTGCTAGATTCCAAGCCATGTGAGATGCCTGTTCTAACCCAATGGATGTAAATGAAGCTTCTGAATCTCGACAGGTTCATTGCTGGAGGACTGAGATCTGTGTTTTGTTCCGTCTATCTAGCTTAAGCTGTGCGCATCAGAAATGACTCTGGTGGGCAGCTTCCTTGGATCATTGGATGCCTGATGGTGCCGATGAAATGAAAGAGGAGGGGGGAAGATATGTGAGATGATGTGCTGGTTTTAGGGTCAGTATGAGCTGCAGTGGTGCTGCAGTGCTGATGGAAATGCATGCCAAGAATGTGTTAGCATTACTTGCATAAAGCAGACCACTTGGTACCCAGGTACCATTTGTTTCGCACCAGTGTTCTGTAGAGAGGGAAGGTCGTAAGGGAAAAGTATAATAACTGCGCATCTGACATATACTTGATTTACATTATTCTTGACCACTTTTTTCCACCCAAAAGTATTTTTTAACTACCGTATAAACACTTTATATTTTGGCCAGATGAATGAACGTCTTTAGAGAATGGTTGTCTGGAAGGATGGCTGACTCATGACTGTACTTTGACATTCTTGCTGACTTGTTTCATAAAAATATGAAGTCCAGAAGCATAATGGCAGGGCAACTAAGCAGTAGGACATCGTTTTTGTTTTGGGAAAAGTGTGTATTTGAGCCTTGCATGTTATTTGTTTTGAAAATTACATTTATAGCCAAAAAAGTTTTCCACTGGTTGAGATTGATCTATCTATCTATATATATTTTAACCCATAGTCTGAGCAACTTAAAACCTCCTCAGTAATTAAAGTAGGATCAAGTTCTCTTCTGTAACTGAGGAAGATACTATCTGAGGGTTGACCCTGGGTGATTGATACACAGTCCTAGATCCAGCTCACAGTCTCTGTTCAGAAGTCCTGACTGGCTTGTATCACATGCAAGCCTGCATTTATGCACAGTTATAAAACGTGCATGAAAAATATGAACACTATTTCTGTCTGGATTTCTCAAGGCAGCAAACAAAGATGTAGTGATGACTATTTGTCAATAGAACACGTTTCATTTTGGTGAAAACAATTGATCTTGTGTTCCTGGTAGAATAGTTAAATGTGAGGGATGGTAGCAATAGCTGTGTGATGTTAATGAGTGAAAAGAGATCCAGCTTTGCAGATTGAGAGACCTGAGTTTGAATCCTGATTTTAACCTATTATTAATTGTATGCCATGATTTAACCTCTATAAGCCTCTGTTTTATCATCTGTAAAACGGAGAAAATAATACCTGGCTGGTTTGCACAGGATTGGCATGTGGGTGCTCAATGTTATTCTAAATATTTCTTACCATTGTCTACCTCCGCTGGTTATTAAAGGAACATGAGTGTGTGTAGCTAAAAGTACCTCAAATTTGTGTTTATGTTCAAACTGTGAAGGCCATGAAAGGACTCAATAGCTTGAGGTGGCCTAGGCCTGCTGGAGGTGGTGTTCCCAAGGTAGGGACTTTTCTTGGGTCTGTTGTCATCCAGGAACATTGGCTGGTCAACCCTGGAGCTTGGGTAAAAGGACAAAGGAAATGTTCCCTCCAGGAGAATGGAGCCTAGATGCCAAAGGCCGTGAGGAGTCTGTTCAGAGAAACCCCTTCCAAGAAAGGTTTTGTGGCAAGGGAGGTTTTGTTACATGGAGAGGCTTCTCTGTCCTGAAATTCTATCTTTCTGATACTGGGTTTCCTCCAACGATATGTGTCTCTTCCTTCTTCTGTCCTGTATGCCCTATGGTAATAGCAGCTAAAATGGGAAGGTGCTTGTTTCAGGCCAGGCTTTCCTGCAGTAACTCAGTCATCATCATGACCCTGTGAGAGGAGAACCACTGCCATCCTTATTATACAAATGAAGAGACTGAGGCTCAGACAGGTCGCAGTGCCCAAGGTCTGACTCTGGCCCTGCCTCTACAGCATGAGGAGAGGACCTCACAGATGAGCTGATGACACAGAAAGGAGGGGCAGCAGAGCCGGAGTCACCCCAATCTCCAGGCTCACAATCCAGTGCTCTCTCCTCACATTGGGGTGAGAGCGCCCCATCGCTTAGTGGCAAGAGGAGGAAGAATAAGCAGGGTTTAGGGCCAGCCAGGCAGAATCACAATGGGGAAGAGCTGGTGTCAGGTACCTTCCCTTCCTGGCCTGCCACATCATCCTGTCTCCAGGATGGGGCTTGTGATCTCAGCAGCTGGGGCAGCAGCCGCAGCAGTAAACAGGGCTAGAAGGTGGAGCAGAGCCCTTGGAAATCAACTAGGCCAACCTCTCATAATATGAATGAAGAGCTTGAGGCCCAGAGAGGAAATGACTCATCCATGGAGGTGTTGGGGGGAGGAGAGAGATCTTTATTCCACTGCCCTGGACAGGAACCCCTCCTAATGGACTGCTCCTCAGTGCCTCTGTGGGAAGCCTGGGTGTTGCTGGTGGCTCTGTCAGAAAGGGCTGCCCAAGTCCAGGGACCTCCATGGACCCTAGAGATACCACTGAGCTGGACAGCTCCTTTTTCTCCCTCCCCACCTAGCAGCTCCATCTGGCCCCTGCTGGCACAGGATTGCCGTTCGCAGACTGCATTGATTTCCATTTCCCGGGTGATGAGATAATTTAAAGGTTATTCAGTTGAGTTTTTGCTTCCCTTGACTTGAGTCCTTTCTCCAAGAGCACCTACTGCCAACAGCCTGAGTTCCAGGCATTGAAATAAAAAGATGCAATTGTTGCCCATAAACTTGAATTGTTTAAGAGGCATGTGTGAACTTTTATAGCTGTTTTGCACACATACCCTGCCTCGATGGTTACTTAATGAGCTTACCCGTGAGGTTGCTCTTTCCACTGAATGGCATTTCATGATGCTGAACCTTGCGCCATTCCTGCAGGTGCGCTCCTTTTCCTAGGTTGCCATTTTCAGTTACTGGCCCCATCTCTCCTACCTTGAACTCCAGCCCCTGCCCCCGCGAGACTCAGCTCCTTCCTCTTCTTGCTGTCTGGGGTCATGCCCTGTTCATTTTCTACCACATTTTCTCTGAATTCTGTCGCTTCCCTCAAGCCGTGCTGCCACTGCCCTGATTGGGCTCCTCATTACTGACTCTTTGCAAATGCCCTTCAGCCAGGGTGCCTCCCTGCACAGGGTCCCTTGTAGACTTGCCCCTATATGCGCAAGCAGATAAATCTTTCAGGAACACAGATTCTGCTCTCGGCACTGCTTTCCTGCTGACCCTTCCCTGGCCCACTACCACCTCCAGGATGAAGGCAGATGCCACAGCCGGGCCTGGAAGGGCTTTCTGCAGACTGGCCCAGCTCCCTGCCTCTCACACAGCAGCTGGGCCTGCTCTTCTCTCCCACATGGTACTCTTTCTCCCTGGACATGTCCCTTCCCTTTCCCACCTCCAGCTCTAGAGCTGCCTCCTCCAAGCCACCTTCCTTCCTCCCCTGAGCTTCCTGAGTTTTCTTTCCCTGCCTAAATCCAGAGCACGCTTGCTCAGTCAGCTATTCAAGGGACCAGCTGGGTCTTTTTTTTGTGGTGGTCTTTCTCTGTTGCCCAGGCTGGTGTGCAGTGATGCAGTCACAGTTTTACACTTCACTGTAGCCTCAACGTCCTGGGCTCAAGTGATCCTCCTGCCTTAGCCTCCTGAGTAGCTGGGACTACAGGCACAGGCCACCATGCCAAGCTAATTTATTTGTATGTTTTTTGTTGAGACAAGGTCTTGCTGTGTTGCCTAGGCTGGTCTGGAACTCCTGGGCTCAAGCGATCCTCCTGCCTCTTCCTCCCAAAGTGCGGGGATTACAGGTGTGAGCCACTATGCCCAGCCAGCCAAATTTTACTGCAGGCCAGGTACAGTGTGGGGCAGCAGTAGTGCTAAAGCCAGTGTTGTGGGTTGAATTGTCATAAGCGAGGTATACACAGAAGACACAGGGAAGTCCCCCCAAAAGATATGTTAGGCCGGGCATGGTAGCTCACACCTATATTCCCAGCACTTTGGGAGGCCAAGGTGGGAGAATTACTTGAGCCCAGGAGTGCAAGGCCAGCCCAGGCAACATAGCAAGATCCTGTCTCTACAAAAAATGAAAATAACAAAATTAGCTGGATATAGTGGGGTGCCCCTGTAGTCCCAGCTACTCAGGACAATGAGGTGGGAGGAACACTTGAGCTCAGGAGGTGAAGGCTGTAGTAAGCCATGATCACCCCACTGCATTCTGGCCTGGGTGATAGAGTGAGACCCTGTCTCAAAAGAAAAACAAAAGATATGTTGAAATCCTAACCCCTTGTACCTGTGAACATGACTTTGTTTGGAAATAGGGTCTTTGCAGATGGAATCAAGTCAAGATGTCTTTTGGGTGATTCCTAATCTAATATGTCTGATGTCCTTATGAGAAGAGAGAAGTGTGGACTTATGCCGGGCGTGGTGGCTGACACCTGTAATCCCAGCACTTTGAGAGGCTGAGGCGGGCCGATCACGAGGTCAGGAGATCGAGACCATCCTGGCTAACATGGTGAAACCCCATCTCTACTAAAAATACAAAAAATTAGCCAGGCGTGGTGGCGGGTGCCTGTAGTCCCAGCTGTTTGGGAGGCTGAGGCAGGAGAATCACTTGAACCCGGAAGGTGGAGGCTGCAGTGAGCTGAGATTGTGCCACTGCACTCCAGCCTGGGTGACAGAGCGAGACTCCGTCTCAAAAAAAAAAATGTGGACTTAGACACACACACAGAGGAGACCACCAGGTGAAGACACAGACAGAGAGGGGAAGGTCATGTGAAGTCAGAGGCAGAGATTGGAATTATGCTGCCACGGCCAAGGAACACCTGAGGCTACCAGGAGCTGGAAGAGGCAAGGAAGGATTCTCCCCTAGAGCCTTCACAGAGAATGTGGCCTTGCTGACACCTTGATTTTAGACATCCGGCCTCCAGAACGGCAAGCAGATGAATTTCTGTTGTTCTAGGCCATGACATTTTTGGCAGCCCTAGGAAACTAACACAGTGAGTAAGACTCCTTCCCAGCCCAGGTGCTGGATATTTTTCAGGGAGACAGACTCTCCAATGGAGCCTTATGAGTCAGTGTGGTGAGTACTGCGAGAAATCGAGAAGTGTATGATGAAGACTCTGAGAAGGGCCTTCCACCAAGCAGCCTTCCAGCCCCTTGCTGGGGTGGCAGCTGTCAAGGAAGTCTCCTTGGGGGAGGGAAGGCTCATACCCCATGTTCAGAGATGAGCAGAAGTCCACCAGGGAGCGAAAGCCAGGCTATCTCAGGCCCCGTGAGTGAAGGCATGAGAGCAGGGAGCAGCCGGTGGAGCCAAGGCCTGGGACTGGGGAGTGCTGAGCCCTACAAGGCTTAGCTCCTAGTAGGCTGTGGTTTGCAAAGGACTTCGAACTTGAACTTGACTCTGTTCATATCAGGGAGCCATGGAAGAGAAATGACAGGGAGCAGATGGTAATTTCAGTAAATTGTCCCCATAATGTCATGGAAGATGGATCTGAAGGGGTACACATGGAAGCTGAGACCTCAGAAGTGAGCTAGAGGTGTGGCTGGTCGAGGTGGAGAAGACGATATGGATTTGCAAATGATTTGGTAAGGACTTGGGGATTCATTGCATATAGGGACACAAGGAGAAGGAGAAACTGCAGGAGCTGACCCTCAGGTCTCTGGCTGGTGCCTAGGGAAAGAAAGAATGGTCTGGAGAGGGAAAAGTTATGATGAGGGAGCAGAGGAGAGATGTCGGGCTCAGCTGGGGACCGGTGGAATGTGGGAGACATCCAAGAGACAGTGGAGTTCTATAGCTTGGAGGGGCAAGGCTGTGCTGGTGCTACAGATGGGGAAATGTGAATGGGGGATAGGATATGGAGCTATGGACATGGACACCATCGCTTGGGCCCATCATGGAGTGAGAAGACGATGGGAGAGAGGACTGACTCATGTCCTCAAGCGAGGACAGAGGAGGTTAGAAGACAGTGGATGTGTGGCAAGAGGACCAGGGGGTTTCAAAGAGGGGTGGTTGGTGTGACTCAGGTCTTCCACAGGAAGTGGTCTATGGAGGGCATCAGACAGGGCCACTGGATTCAGGGATGACTTGTCATTTCTTGCCTTTCCTTGTGTCTTCTGTGTACACTTGCTTATGACACCCTCTATCCATTTCTGGCACCTCTCCTGACACCTCTCTGGGCTATGCTGTCCAGAGCAGACCTGATGAGGTGAGTGCAGATGCATGCCTGGACAACCGCACAGGTAGCCTCTCCTGGGCAGCCACAGCCATTAATCTCAAGGTCACTGGTGTCCACGGCCATGAGCTTCAGCCGGAAGCCTGGCTGCAGAGGGTGAGGTGAGGCCTGCAGCCTGGCCAGAAGACAGGTACTATACCTGAGCCCCCGCCCCCACACCTGGTTGCAGCTGTGTCCATTCTTTGCAGGGCCCGTCACCATGGGCGGCTCTGCTCCTCCGCCTCATAGGAATTGTGCCACGGGTGCGCCAAATGATCCAGCCCCTCTCTGATTGCTGCCTGCCAGGTTGGTCTGTGTGCACTGATGCGGTGGCTTCTCTGATGTGATCTCTGGGCCCTCCTGCCCAAAAACTCACCCAAGGAGTATTCTTCTATATGCCTGACCTTCCACCATTAGAGAGTCACTCGTAGGGCATCACAGGTTTCAGCGTGAGCCGGAGTTGATCCTGGCACACTCTCTCCAATTGTAATTTGTTGAGACATTAATTTTAGTTAGGAAACACAAGATTGTGAAATATTTCAAGATTCTAAAATTTATAACATAAAATTTAGTCATCTTTCATGACCCCTCCCCATCTCACTCATCTCCCTAGAGATATACTCACCAATTTGTCAGTACTGGTATTTTCCAGATCTTTTCCCATGCATTTACAAAGCCATATAAGTATACACAACCCCCCCCCCACACATACATATATAAAAATGAGATTGTACTGTACATACTGATCAAGAGCTTGCTTTTTTCCTTATCAATGTATTTTGGAGATCTTTACATGTTGATACAAATACATCTCTTTTATTTCTTTTTAGTTTCTGATTTTATTTTTTTTATTTTTATTTATTTTATTTATTTATTTATTTATTTATTTATTTGAGACAGGGTCTTGCTCTGTCACCCAGACTGGAGTGCAGTGGTGCGATCTCAGCTCACCACAACCTTTGCCTCCCAGGTTCAAGAGATTCTCGTGCCTCAGCTTCCCAAGTAGCTAGGATTACAGGCATGCACCACCATGCGTGGCTATATTTTTTAAATTTATTTTTAATTTATATTTATTTATTTGTTTGTTTATTTATTTATTTTTGAGATGGAGTCTTGCTCTGTTGCCCAGGCTGGAGTGCAATGACACAATCGCAGCTCACTGCAACCTCTGCCTCCCAGGTTCAAGTGATTCTCCTGCCTCAGCCTCCCAAGTAGCTGGGATTACAGGCGCCCACCACCACACCCGGCCAATTTTTGTGTTTTTAGTAGAGACGGGGTTTCACCATGTTGGCCAGGCTGGTCTCGAACTCCTGACCTCAGGTGATCTGCCCACCTCGGCCTCCCAAAGTGCTGGGATTACAGACATAAGCCACCGCGCCCGGCCTATTTTTTTTTTTATTTTTAAAGACAGGGTCTTGCTTTGTCACCCATGTTGGAGTGCAGTGGTGTAAGCATAGCTCACTGCAGTCTTGACCTCCTGGCTCAAGGCATCCTCCTGCCTCAGCCTCCGAAGTACCTAGAACTACAGGTACACGCAACCACACCTGGCTAATTTTTTATTTTTTGTAGAGACAGGGTCTTGCTATGTTGCCCAGGCTGGTCTTGAACTCCTGCCTCAAGGAGTCTTCCCACTTTGGCCTCCCAAAGTGCTGGGATTACAGGCATGAGCCACCACACCCAGCCTTCTCATTTTTATTTTTTATTTTTTTATTTTTGAGACAGCCTCGCTCTGTCGCCCAGGCTGGGGTGCAGTAGCGCAATCTCAGCTCACTGCAACCTCCTGCTTCCAGGTTCAAGTGATTCTCCTGCCTCAGCCTCCTGAGCAGCTGGGACTACAGGCGCGCACCACCATGCCTGGCTAATTTTTGTATTTTTGGTAGAGACAGGGTTTCACCATGTTGGCCGGGCTAGTCTCAAACTCCTGACCTCAAGTGATCTGCCTGCACCTGCCTCTCAAAGTGCTAGGATTATAGGCTTGAGCCATCACGCCTGGCCTCATTTTTTAAAGAACAGCATAGAATTCCATAGTGTATTATAATGTATTTAATCATTTTCCTCTTGATGAACAATAGATTCTTCACATGTTGTTACTATTCCAGAAAGTGCTGTGCAAATCTCCCTCTACGTGCATCTTTTACATATGTGTGAGTTTTTCCATTGCATAGATTTCTAGAAGTGGAATTGCTATGTTACAAGGAGATGCACCTGATAAGTATCAACAGATGCTATAAAATTGTCAGCCAAAAATAATGCATAAATTGATATGATCCAACAGTGTGTATCATCCACAGAGGCGACCCCATCATTCTTTTTACTCCTTGTTACTCTGATGGGTGAATGAAAAGGCATTTCCTTGCTCTATTTTGCATTTCCCTTATTCTCACTGAGACTGTGTCTACTCTTATCTGTTTATTTACCCATCGTGTGTATTTTGTGACTTGTATATTTATATTTGTTGCCATTGTTACTCTGGATATTTGTGGATTTAATTGTTGATTTGTAGAAGTTTATTCTAGCTATGGTTATTTCTCCTTTGTTGGTTATATATTTTGTGAGCATTTTTTCATTGTTGCTTATCTTTTCACTGTTTTTGTGGTGCTGTGGAATTTCTAAATGTTTATATTGTCATGTCTATCCATCAGAGGCTTGTTTTTTAGTAGTAGGGGGAAAATGGAGCCTGGAGGCTTACGATGTTGCATTCTTTTTTTTTTTTTTTTTTTTTTTTTTGAGATGGAGTCTTGCTCTGTTGCCCAGGCTGGAGTCCAGTGGCGCAATCTCAGCTCACTGCAACCTCTCGGATTCAAGTGATTCTCCTGCCTCAGCCTCCTGAGTAGCTGGAATTACAGGTGCACACCACCATGCCTGACTAATTTTTGTATTTTTAGTGGAGATGAGCTTTCACCATGTTGGCCAGGCTGGTCTCGAACTCCTGGCCTCAAGTGATCCACCTGCCTCTGCCCCGCAAAGTGCTGGGATTATAGGCGTGAGCCACTGCGCCCAGCCACAATGTTGCATTCTTGACCCTTCTGTAGTCTCTGCTTGCTCTTTGACTTTGAACAAAACTCAACTTCACTAAATTTTAATTTTGCAAGCTATATAGCCATGCTGTCTGTCCTGCCCATCCTCACCCAGCTGCTGCAGGGATAACAGTGATTACAGGAATCACAGGAGAAGCTGTCTTTGATGGGGCTTCACAGTCATTCACATCTTCACAGTTAAACTAATTCCTTGATGGACATTGAGATTGACTCTTCTAGCACCAGCCTTGTGTAGGGCAGTGGTGTGGGGACAGCTGGTGCTGGGACCCTTACCTAACTTTTCCCAGATGACTTTTTTTCTTTTTTTTTTTGAGATGGAGTTTTGCTCTTGTCATCCAGGCTAGAGTGCAATGGCATGATCTCAGCTCACCGCAACCTCCGCCTCCCGGGTTCAAGCAATTCTCCTGCCTCAGCCTCCCTATTAGCTGGGATTACAGGTGCATGCCATCACGTCCAGCAAATTTTTTATTTTTAGTGGAGATGGGGTTTCACTATGTTGACCAGGCTGGTCTCGAACTCCTGACCTCAAGTGATCCACTCGCCTCAGCTTTGGGATTACAGGCATGAACCACCATGCCCGGCCCCAGATGATGTTTGAGTGCCCGCCTGTGCTGGAGATACTATCCTCACAGCTCTGCATAAGGAAGTATATGAGTCAGCCTGGGCTGTCATCACAAAATGCCACAGCCTCGGTGGCTTAAACAACAGAAATTGATTCTGTCACAGTTCTGGAAGCTAGAAATCCAAGTTCCAGGTGTCGGGAGGTTTGGTTTCTTCTGAGGCCTCCTCTGCTTGTGGATGGCTGCTTTCTTGCTATGTCCTCACATGGTCCTTCCTTTGTGTATATGTTTGTGTCCTCATTTCCTCCTCTTCTTATGAAGACACCAGTCGTATGGATTAGGGTCCACTCATATTATCTCGTTGGGTTTTTTTTTTTTTTTTAAGATGGAGTCTCACTCTGTCACCCAAGCTGGAGGGCAGTGGCTCAATTTCAGCTCATGCAACCTCCGCCTCCCGGGTTCAAGTGATTCTGGTGCCTAGTCTCTTGAGTAGCTGGGACTACAGGCACATGCCACCACTCTCAGCTATTTTTGTATTTTAGTAGAGATGGGGTTCCACCATGTTGGCCAGGCTGGTCTCAAACTCCTGACCTCAGGTGATCTGCCCGCCTTGGCCTCCCAAAGTGCTGGGCCATATGATCTTGTTTTATCTTAATTACCTCTTTAAAGGGCTTATCTCCATAGAGAGTCACATTCTGAGATCCTGGGGGTTTGGACTTCAACATATGGATTTTGGGGGGACACATTTCAACCCATTACAGGGAGATAGCACCATGTCTGGATGAGAATCTGGGAAGTAAAGCTCAGAGAGGCTTCTGTACTTGCTTTCAGTCACAATAAGCAGCTTGTAGATCTGAGCTCAGACTCCTGTGTTTGACTCCAAATCCCAGGGCTCTGGGTGACCTGACTGGTGTTAAAAGTCTCTGGGCTGGGCCGGGCACGGTGGCTCACACCTGTAATCCCAGCACTTTGGGAGGCCAAGGCGGGAGGATGGCTTGAGCCAAGGAGTTCGAGACCAGCCTGGGCAACGTGGTGAAACCCCATCTCTACAAAAAAATGCAAAACTTAGCCAGGCATGGTGGCACGTACCTATAGTCCCAGCTACTGGGGAGGCTGAGGTGGGAGGACGGCTTGAGCCCAGGAGGCAGATATTGCAGTGAGCTATGATCATGCCGCTGTACTCCAGCCTGGGTAACAGAGTGAGACCTTGTCTTTTTTAACAAAACAAAACAAAAAACCTCTTTGGGCTCCACTACCCTGACTTCCTGCTCACTAGTCACCCATCTGTGTCCCCACCCCATGGCCTCATAACTCTCACTCCCTGGGCAGGACACCTACTCCTTCGATATCTTCTGTACTTCCTCTGTCCTCTTGGGAAAGGGTTTCGCATAATAATTCAATTAATTGAGTGTATTATAGCTTGTTACATTTTTACTGTTGCAGTGGGAAAGACTGCATGGTGTGATAGAGCATTTGCAATGCAGGAAATTCCCCAGTAATCTCACTCCCTCACAAACCTCCTCTTAATGTTTGCATGTTAGCTTCCCATCTCCCCTCAGGACATACACTTGTATTTCCTGTGTTTGGCATCATATTAAACATGGCTCTTCATGCTCTTCCCTTTTCACCCCACATTATAGCTAACAGTTTCTATCTTTCTCTTTTTTCTTTTTTTTAAAAATTTCTTAGCCCAAAAGGCCATCCTCTATCTTTTCATGCTCATTTTAATGGCTGTGTAATATTCCACTGAGTTGCCATACTCTAATATTCTGAATCATTATAGCTGTCGAGCATTTGAGTTTCCCATTTGTGCTATTACAGATAATGATGCAGTAAATATCTTTGTACAGAAAGCTTTTTGCTTCTCTCGAATTATTTCCTGAGGGAAAATTCCCAGGAGTCAGATTACTGAGTTAAGGGCTGCAGCAGCATCACAGCGCCTTGATGAACTGAAATATCATGTTATGGAACAAGCATACCAGTGTCCCATGCCAACAAGTGAACATGTCAGCTGCACTGTAGTCTCACTGGCATTTGCTGTAAATAATTAAATAATTAAAAAAAAATAAAAAGTTTTGACAACTTTTATATAAGGATACGCCAAGGCTGCTTTAATTGGTGTTGCTTTAATAACCAACAAAGGAGGAACATTCTACAATACATTCAATAGATTTGTATTTTCAATTCCTTTTGTTGTCACTTTTATTTTTAAAAAAGAATCATTGAAGACGAAATAAATGGGCAGTCATCCCTTGGGAATTCCAGCGCTGTTATTATCTTGAGGAATCTGTCGGTGAAAGTAGTATTTAGACTTCAACAAGCAGAAGGCCTCTTGGTTAATAACTGACATAGCAATAGAATGGGCCTGAGAAGACGCTGATCTCCTCAGACCCACGTGGCGGGACTGATCCCAACTCTCCATTCAGGTCCTCCAGGTAGCCTGGCCCACCAGCAGGCCGCCCTTTCCAAATGCATGTGCAGGGATGCCAGTGCAACCCCGTGCTGGCTCCAGGGCAAAACCTTCCAGGCTCAGCTCCCAGAGAGGCGGCCTCTGTCTCTTCTGTTGCCCCTACCAGCAGAGGGCACGTGTGGACAGTCAGGCCTAGGCACCACCCCTAGCTTTTCCCTTTTTTCAAACTGAATGGTGCCCTTGGTGCCCTCTCACTCATTCTTTTCCTTTTCTTTTTTGAGACAGTCTTACTCTGTTGCCCTGGCTGGAGTGCAGTGGTGTGATCTCGGCTCACTGCAACCTCTGCCTCCCAGTTCAAGCAACTCTCCTGCCTCAGCCTCCCAAATACCTGGGATTACAGGTGTACGCACCACACCTGGCTAATTTTTGTATTTTTAGCAGAGATGGGGTTTTACCATGTTGGTCAGGTTGATTTTGAACTCCTGACCTCAAGTGGTCCGGCCGCCTCAGCCTTCCAAAGTGCTGAGATTACAGGCATGAGCCACTGTACCCAGCCCCCATTTCAATTTTCTGATCTAAAATAATCAATGATAAATGGAAAGTTTTTTCCCTTGGAAGTTTTTTAATTGCCCAGCAACACATTATCACAAATTGCTCTCAAATTAATTCTCTGGCTTCAGTGCAGAATCATTTATTAATGAGGATGGCAGTCAGCATCTAAGAATGGCTATTCTTAGAACACTGCTGCTTTAAAGGGCTTCATTCTTAAGATAGCCCCACAAGGACCATGTATGCCTCACAAACACTTGGAAAACCTGATTCTCCAGACAAACACAGAGAAGGTCACTGCTTCTCCCCTGTGGGCCCCAGCCCCTCATTAGTGATGAGCCCAAGGCCAGGAGGGGGAAGTCAAAGATCCCCAAGACCCACAGCGGTTGAGGGCTGTGGCCAACTTGGGTCAGGAGGCCACCACTGGCTCTTGCTCCCATGGGACTCCCAAGCTGGTGCTGGCATCTGTGTGGTATCATCAAGGGAGAGGCAAGGGTGCAAAGGGGAAAGGGGGTTGTGAGGAGGAATGCACCAGCAATGCAGACAGAAGGGAACAGTGATGGAAGGCTTGGGAAGACAGGTGGGTGATGTGGTTCGATAGGCTGGGGTGAAAAGGGCTCTTGATGAGTGATTATGTTGCTTTCATGAAGCAATTTGATTGATTTATTCATTCCCATGCACCTACCATGTGCTAGACCACATTGGAGGCTGAGACTAGTGAGAAAAGGCCTCCAACTCTGCCCTGAAGGAGTTCACAGTCTGTTGTTGGAGATAGACAAGTAAATAGGAATCTACAGTGGGTGTGCTAGGCCCTGGGAAAGAAAGCTCAGGGCACTCAGGAAGCTCACACTTGAGGAAATTCACCTGTGATCCTACTGGGTTTTTTGTTTGTTTTGAGACAGGGTCACCCAGGCTTGAGTGCAGTGATTTGATCTTAGCTCACTGCAGCCTTGACCTCCCCAGGGTCAAGCAATCCTCCCACCTCAGCCTCCCAAGTAGCTGGGACTACAGGCATGCACCACTATGCCCAGCTAATTTTTAAAATGTTTTTACAAAGATGGAGTTTCGCCATGTTGCCCAAGCTGGCCTCAAACTCCTAGGCTCAAGCAATCTGCTCATCTCGGCCTCCCAAAGTGCTGGGATTACAGACATGAGCTACCGTGCCCAGCCAGTCCTACTGTTTTAACATGTCAGTATATGCATACTTTTCATAGACTTACAAATGTGTTGTGTGATTTGCTCTTTTCCTTTCAGCGTTTTTTTTTTAGCACGGTTTATTTCCCTGACATTATCACTTACATAAATCTAAACAGCTCCCTGATATTCCATGAAGTTGATGAAAGAGTGGATGAAATTCACCTGCTGTTATTGAGTTAGGTTGCTTCATTTTTGCAACAGATGGCACTGGGTGCAGAACTTTTTGCACTTGTGATGAGTCCAGTTCATCTTACTGGGCTGTAGGGTGTGGATGTGCTTGCGATTCTTAATGTACTACCATGTTGTCCCCAAGGCCTTGCAGTAGTTTCTGGGGCCGCCGTGAGTGCCTGGGGGACATATTTCTCTGTTGCCTCCATCCAGCACTGGGATGAATAACAGATACACACAACCACATCAATATGAATATTATTTGTTGAATGTGTGTGTGTGTGTGCCACATTATTGAGCAAAGGAAGGAACATAGAGGAAACTGAGTCTGATTAGTAATGTTCTGGTAGCAAGTGGAAGTGGGAGCCCAGCTTCTAGGGAGGCTGTTGCAGGAGCAGCAGCCCAGGTGGGGCGTGACAAGGAAAGTGGTAACCATAGACATGGGAGGAAAGCAAAGAGTTCAAAGTGAACAGAGCAACCAGTTTGATGTGGGGTCAGATAGGAGTTTGGAGGGTTGCAGCTGCCCCCGGGATTGCCAGCACAGGATATTTGGGGTAAGTGAACCTCAGGAAGGTTTCAGAGTTGGTGCACTTGGTTTTAGGACGTCACAAAGAGGAGGGCTGGAGGCCCAAACCTAGACCTGTTCAAAAGACACCCGTGGGCCAGGTGCTGTGGCTCACGCCTGTAATCCCAGCACTTTGAGAGGCCAAGGTGGGTGGATCACCTGAGGTCAGGAGTTCAAGACCAGCCTGGTCAACATGGTGAAACTCTGTTTCTACTAAAACTACGAAAATTAGCTGGGCGTGGTGGTGCATGCCTATAATCTCAGCTACTCAGGAGACTGAGACCAGAGAATGGCTTGAACCCGGGAGGCAGAGGTTACAGTGAGCAGAGATCATGCCACTGGACTCCAGCCTGGATGACAGAGGGAGACTCTGAAAAGACACCCATGATGCATGAGTATAGATGGCTCACAGGAGCGGGGCTGGGGTTCAGACTCACGCATACGGTTATATGAGGGAAACTTTGTGACAGGACTCAGGGCAGCCAGTGGAGCTGTTAGAAGAACCCATCGGTCATCTTAGGCTCAGTCTCTTCGGCTTCCTTGACAAACTAATTCAACTAAGACTTTGCAGCTAATATATTTTCTTTAAGGACGAGTTGGCACCCTTCTGGCTGCCTGTTCAGCTAGGTTGTAGATTTTTAAGTATTTCACATGAGCAGAATCTGATAGTTTTTTGATTGTGACTTATAGTGTAAAATGATTACATAGAAAAGAGAAATAGTGTGTGTGTTTGCTTTAGTGGGACCACATGATTTTTTAAAATTATTTTTTCTGTACCATTTTCATTTTGTTCCAGGGTATGTTTTGTTCCCTTTCTTCTCAATTACCCAGCTGTAAGCCAGGCATGGCTCTGGATGAGAGTGAATAGACAGTGGGGCTAAGAAAGAAGTTCAGTGACACCAGGGTTCACCAGCAGTGAGGGTGGCATGTGGCACTCAGCTCCTCTGCCCTCCTCTTCTTCAGCCTTTAGGACAGAGGGCACAGTTCTGCATTAGAGTCCTCCAGATTTCAGATTCCACGATACTCATAATGCCTGGTTAAATACCTTTGGTTGGATTTATTCTTGCACATGCAAATCCTTAAAAACAAATTGCCTGTATGTTTCTGAACGTTTCCCCAAAACATTCAAAACACAGCTCTGACCGAACACAGTGGCTCACACCCATAATCCCAGCATTTTGGGAGGCCGAGGTAGGAGGACTGCTTGAAGCCAGAAGTTCCAGCCCAGCCTAGGCAACAAAGCAAGAACTTCATCTCTACAAAAAATAAAAATAAATAAAAATTAGCTGGACACGGTGGTGTGCCCCAGTAGTCCCAGCTACTCAGGAGGCTGAGGCAGGAGGATTGCTTGAGCCCAGGCATTTGAGTCTGCAGTGAGCTATGATCATGTCACTGTACTTGAGTCTGGGTGACAGAGTAAGACCCCATCTCTAAAAAAAAAATAAAATTTTAAAAATAAAATTAAAAACAAACCAAAACACTATTCCAGACCCCCCGCCACCTCATTTTTTTCTCATGAGGCCTCTGGGAGCCCAGGGCGCAGTAATCTCTTTAAGGGACCTTGCAGAGCATGGTTCTCTGAGTGTGGCCTCTGAGGTCAGCCAGACCAGGCCAGTTCCAAGCCTGGTGACCCTGGGCAAGTCACTTGACCTCAGAGCCTTAGTCTCCTCATCTGTAAAAGAGGGTGTTGGTGAAATTTATCAAACAAGGCTTTTCTGTGAGAATGAAATGAGGAAATGCAGGTCAAGCATGCAGCCTGGTGTTCTCAACACTCTATCGCTAGGACCATTTCCATCACTGTGGTGCTCTTCATTTTGCAGCCAGAAAACCAAGGCCCAGAATGGCTAAATGCTTTCTATCCCCCTGCCCGGCCAGTGAATCTAACTCAATTGTTAAGGATTAATTCTCCAGGTGAAAGAAGTACTCAGTTGCCTCAAAGGCCTGGAAGGGAATTACTGACCCAGCACCACCTTCCCTGGGTCTATTAGATGTTAAAAGAGGAGCTTTGATGTGTATTTGAAAAAGCTTTAAATTGGTGAAAATGGATTCCTTTTCAATAAATTACATTTGATCAATTCCTTTGCTTGAGCTCCTGCAAGGTGGCACAGTTAGGTAGGGCTCTGTTGGAGATGAAGCAGTGGCTAAAACTCAGTCCCAGGGCCCAGAGTCTGTAGTCCAGTGGGAAAGATGAGACATACATAAGGCAGAGCGAAGTGGGAGCCTCAGCAGAGGAGTGGGGCAGGCCCAAGTGTGGAGTTGAAGACCTCTGAGTGGGAGAGTGTCAGCGTCTGACATACAGTGTACAGGATCTCTCAGCTGTTATATTGTGCAGAGACTGTGGGGACCAGAGTGGGAGCAGAGAGACTTGCAGGGAGATTGTGTAAGAGTCCACAGGCAAGACGAGGGCGTAGCAGGCCCCAGAAACAACATGCAGGTGGTGAGAGTCAAGGGATCCTGGCTGTATTCTACGGGTACAGCCATCATGATGTGCTGACCAACTGGATGTGGATCTAAGAGACGGAGAAGTCACAGACGACTCCAGAGTTTCTGACCCGAATGATGTCACTAGCTGAGGTGGGGAGGGTTGAGGAAGGGTGTGGTACAAATGGCGGTGGATGGGGGATGGGGGTGCGGGGATAGGGAAGCTCAGATTTGGACAGTTGGGTTTCTGACGCCCACCACACATCCCACGGAGATTTCGGTGGGCTGCCTGGCGGAGGCGGTGGGCGCTTCTTTACTGGAAATTTTTGTAAGTGAAACTTGCTGTATTTACCTTGTTGAGTGTTTCTGTTAACATCTGAAACTCTGGGGAAAACTAGGATTCTTTAACCTTGTAGACCTAAAAGACACAGAGGCAGTTAATTTCACTTAACACGAATTTATTAGAAACAGCTCCTTTAGAAATCAGCGTTCTCTGATCTGTAATAAACCTTGTAATTAACTTTGCTAACTTACTGGTTATGCCTGTGGGCAGCTGGACAGTGGAGTTGTGTTCAAAGGCCTGGGCAAATACCTTGTGACCAGATGCCTGCAGGCCTGTGGCAGCAGAACTAAGGGAGCCCAGCTCCCCGGGGCCCTGCCTGTTGCCTTCTTCCTGCATGGTGGCCAGGTGTCTGCAGGTGGCCAGACACAGGTGCACCAGCCACGGCAGCGGGGTCAGAAGATGAGAGGGTCTCAGAGGTGACCCCGATTTCCTGGAATCACCGTCAGGCCCCTGGCCATCCCCATTTCCCGCGTGCCCCTTAGCTCTCAAGGGCATCTTTGCCCTTTGAGATAAAGCAACGCCGAGCTTGTTGCTGCAGGGGACAGCACTTTCGCTCGGATTTTCGCATTAAAATGTGACATTGAAGTGGGGAGCCTGCATGGGCGTCCGCGGGGTCGCACGGACCAGCAGGCGACGCGCGGGACGAGGCCGCGCTCCTGGGGCGGGAGGAAGTGGTAGGCAGCACCGCCGCTCAGGCTGGGCTCGGCTCCCGCGGCGCGGACGGGGTTAACGCGCTCATGTACCGGGTGGCGGGCGGCAGTGGTGCATTGTGGTAACGCGGCGCCGGGACCCACGAGTGTCCGCCGCCTCCGCCGGGCGGCCCACCGAGCTGTGCACGCGTCCGTGCAAGCCCCCGGGACCCGGCGCCATGTAGCGCCCCGCCGATTGGAGGCTGCCCCGCCGCGGGAAATGAAGGGACGCGGCTGCTGGGACACGGCCTCCGTGCGCTCCTTCTGCAGCTCCGGCTGCCTGAATAAATTTAAGAAGGGTTAGTGCTTGCCGGGCTTCCACCCGGAGGGAGGCCAGGCTCCCCGCGCATGCACGCCCGGTGCCTGGCTTTGCTGCGTGATCGATCCACGGGAGCCTCTGATGTCACTCCCTCGCGGCGTGGGGAGCGCGGGGAGCCTCGGGGAACCCCTGTCCCCGCACCCCGCCGGCGTGCGCTCCCGGCTTGCTTCACGCGCGGGGCATTTTGGAGAGGGGGCTGCGGCTAGAGACTTGTCCGTCTAATTAACCTATGCAAAAAGAAAATGAAATATAATCTATATCTTTATGAAAAGAAGGGGGAAGCGGTGGTCGGTGTTTTATCCACCCATCTACCTCTTCTTCCCCAGAGTCGGCCTGGGGTCCGCATGCCCCTGGAGCCCCTGTAGAGTCGCTGATTTGCCCACAAGGGCCTCGTCCTGGGGCCACCAGTGGTGTCGGCTTTGCTCAGTGTGTGATTCTCCGAGTGGCCGCCTGGGTTTGAGCAACCCTCCCTCCCCGTCCCGTGGTGATCCTGAATGACTGCCCTGGCCTGTGCAGGCTCACAAGCCCAAGGGCCCTTCCTAGCGTGGGGGAAAACCTTAGCTGTCTTAAATGGAAGACTTGCAAACTCTGTAAGCTCTTGCCTGCAATTCCTGATGCTTGAAACCTTCTTTATTGGAAATTTTGCGTGAGTGAAATTTGCTGTATTTACCTTGATGAGTGTTTCTGTTAACATCTGAAACTCGGAAAAATTAGGATTCTTTAACCTTGTGGACTTAAAAGACACAGAGGCGGTTAATTTCACCTAACACGAATTTATTAGAAACAGCTCCTTTAGAAATCAGCACTCTCTGATCTGTAATAAACCTTGTAATTAACTTTGCCTGCTTACTGGTTATGCTAATGGCTTCATAAGACCTTGGTCCATTCCAGAGGACTTCGAAGTTGCAGGCTGCAAGCCTCAGCCCAGGAATCCCATCCAACCACGTGAGTTCTCTTGAAACACCATATGAGGTCTTAGGGTGTGTGCAGTTGTAAATGAAATGTATTTCATTAGGAGTTGATACTACACCTCCATCTTAAGAGTCCTTTAAGGAAACTTGCAAGTAAATTTCGTCCAAAGTGTGTGTTCTGGTTTTAGAGGATTGGTCTTAGTTTCCAGTTTTTATTTTGGATATAGCGTCATTTCTAAAGTAGTTATGTTCTTTACGCGAAATTTAAATGATGTTTCTGTCATCGGTTTGGATGGATTTATTCCGAGGGAGAATTTTGGAGTTAGTTTTAAAAAGAAAAGACATTGTTTTTTTTCTCTTGGCTCATCTAATGATTTTCTTGGTTGCCCTTGTCTGGAAGTGTTAACAAGGAGCATTGGACCCGATGTCTGCTAGCACTTGGCTTGGTTGTGGAGGAATGTCACCTTTGTAGGGAACCTCAGGTGTGACCAGAGCAGCTGTATCTTGAGAGCAGTGACGGGGTGACCTTTTTGACGGCCAGACCCCTCTAGGCCAGCCAGCCTTCCATCTTATCCTTCTGTTGGTGTCCTGCCCTGCACAGCAAGCCTGGGGAGGAGGCGGCTCAGGAAGTTGTGTGTTGGTGGGCACTGTGCTTAGAACAGGGCCTGGAGCAGAGCTTGCTGCACCGGAGGGAGGAGGCCCAGCGGCGAGTGCAGCAGTCAAGAGCAGCCAGAACTCAGCTACCATGTCGGAGACCCTAGGGGGGAATACGGGAGTTTGTCCCTCAGGTGTTCTGTGTGAAAATGGGCCTGGGAAGGCCAGAAGGGTGTTTTCAAGAGAAGCTGGAAATCTCAGTTTTTATAAGATTTCCACATACAAACACATACATAGCTAGGGGTTGCGGGAAGCCTAGTTAGGGGTCAGCTTTGGGAGGTGGGAGCTGCCTAGCCCCTGACATCGTTATGGGAATTGATTGTGTCCTCGTCCCCAGCATGCAAACAGGGTGAGACTGGCCTCCTGTTTTATACACGTCAAAGGGTATTCTGGTGAGGTGTCACCGCACACAAATTTCCCCTTAGGAAAGGGTTCCAATGAAATTGCATCATGCACCTAAGCCCATCTTTGTGCAAGTTGAAGAGGGAGATGGGCTTGCTGCCTGCTCCGGGATGCCGAGGGATGAGGTCCAGGCGGTGCCCATTTCAGCAGCAGGACAAGGTCTGGGCGTATGGAGGTGCATCACATGGGCCTCTATTCTGGAGGTCCCGTGGTATAGCTAGGCTGTCAGGAGCCTGGCTTCTTGTCCTGACTCTGCTGCTCGGCTGTGTGTCTGTGCCCGTCTGTGATTCTCAGTTGCCCCCATCCTTGCAAACAAGGGGAAGCGTGGATTGAAAGAGGTTCCAGAAGAACAGATCCCCACCCTGCTCCCAGATCTAAGCATGTGAGGAGCCCTGGGCAATGGCATGTTCAAAGCACAGCCCCACTGCTTGCCTGGCCTTCAGCCGACTTCTTACCTTTTTGATCCTCAGTTTCCCCATCTAAAAGATGGCATTAAACCTACTTACCTTGGCTGGGCATGGTGGTTCATGCCTGTAATCCTAGCATTTTGGGAAGCTGAGGTGGGAAGATCACCTGAGGTCAGGAGTTCGAGACCAGCCTGGCCAACATGGTGAAACCCCATCCTTACTAAAAATACAAAAATTAGCCCAGCATGGTGGCGTATGCCTGTAATCCCAGCTACTCAGGAGGCAAAAACAAACAAAAAGCCCTACTCACCTGGCAAGGTTGCTGGGAGGTTGAAATGAGATACTATGCATCTGTGCCTACCAGTCTGTCAATCACCTATGTATCTGTGTCTCTGTGTGCTTCAAACAGAGACTGGTGGGCAACAATGGGGGAAGCACCCACTTGAGGTCTCTTGTAAGTGCTGACTTCAGCCCTTGGCCATTCTCCCCTTTGCCTTTGTATGTGTGCACTTATGTGTATATGCACATGTACAGATCTGTGTTGGACTCATGGATCTTTTCTGGTTGGAACGTAAGTCACGAGAGCAGAACGTGTGAACCCCATGCCCTGGCATGGTGGGCTCACCAGAGGTCAGAGTCTGGTGGCCTTGGGCAGGCCCTGACCATAGTACTGCCAAGGTCATCAGTTTCTCGTCTGCGGCCTCAAAGCACCCCTGCTTGCCCACAAGCCAGCCTTCATACTGAGCCCAGCTCTGATTTTCCCGGTGGAGAGAGCTGAGCTGAACTTGCAGCTGACTGGGTGATGTGTCTCAGAAACAGGAGGGGATCAGGGTGATGGCAGCCAACATGGGCCATCAGGGGCGGACATACCAGGTCAGGCGGTTAGGTTCTTTGCACAGACCCCCAGAAAACTTGGTGGCAACGGTGCATCGGCCTCTGTGAGTGGCTGTGATGTGAGCACCAGGTCCTGGAATGTTCTGAGGGGTTATTGTTTTTGATGATGTGTTTACGTCTTTAAAGGCCAGGACAGAGAAGGAGCCTCATGGAACTTCAGCTGGGAATTGATGGAGGACACGGGGTCCTTCAAAAATTCACAAATAGGGACTTTTAGGGGACAGCTTGCCAAAGTGCACTGTCTATATTTGGCATCTGCTGAGGTTCCTGGGAGGAAGGACTAAGGCCTGAAGCAAGGGACTGGCTCTGTGCTCTAATCTCCTTCCCTGCACCTGCAGAGTGGCCTCCTGGTTCCCAGGGATTCACATTTGCCACTCCTCGGGCCTAGCCTCATAGCATGCCCAGTCCAGCCTCCCTCTGCCTACTTGGCCCAATCTCCCTGCCCCTCCCTCATAATAAATTCATCCTTGCAGGCGCAATGCCCATTCTAGTTCATCCTGAAGTTTCCCCCGACCTCCCAAGGCTGGAGGTGCCCCCTCCTTCGGACCTCTCCTGGGCCCCTTCTGTAGCAGGACTGGGTTGTTTGATGCAAGTCTCACCCTCCTAGAGGCTGTAAGCTACCAGAGATGGAGGCTGGGTTTTACCTGTGTCTTAATGCCACCCTCTCCCCTCCAGCACTCAGCACTTTTGTCTAACTGGTGTTTGGAACCGGCCCACCGCCTGGAAGTGAACAATGGGAAGGGCCATCTGAGGCTGAGGGGCAAGGAGCATCCTTGGGTGGTGTTTTCTCTCTGGTTGGGGGCCTCAGCTTCCTGTTCTTCCTCTGGGGCATTCCCCTGGTGCACTCCCCTGGTGCACTGGGACTCCCCTGACTCAGGCTGGAGTCTTTCCTGCCCCCACCCTTTCCATTCTGGTCCCACTGTGGAACTCTGGAACAACCAGGGAAGCTCCAACAGGACAGTGGGTCTCTTAGGTGAACCTGGAGTGGGGGATCCTGGAGAGCTTCCTGGAGGAGGTGACACCCAGCTGTGTATTGGAGGATGAGTAAGTGGAGGAGGTGACACCCAGCTGTGTATTGGAGGATGAGTAAGTGGCAGGTGAGGATGGGGATGCTCAGTTAGGTTTCAGCGAGGTGTCAGGACCTCATGATGGGTGAGATATAGAAAGGGGCCCTGCCAGTGGGTTGCATCAGAAAGGACAGATGGGCAAGAAAGGATGTGAAGTGGGGAGTTGTGAGGGCACAGCTCTGCTGGCTCTGGAGGTGGTGTGTGGCTTGTGGAAAGGAGGCCTCATGGTAGTGCTGACCCCATTTATGTCTTCCCACACCGAGTTGTCACTGTTACTTGGTGTGACTCACTGTGAAGCGGTACCTTCTGCCATGCAAACCTAACATGACAGAGCCTCTGGCCACTTGCTTTTGGCCTAAGGTGGTGAGAATTCTACTTGGTGTCTTAAAATGATGGCAGTAATACGTATGGAAGCCCCTGCCCATCCTGGCACATGGTAGCTGCTCATTAGTAGTAGGATCCTTTCTATCTCCTCCAGTATAAATCTGGCTCCTTATAGGAATGCACATTATTTTACAAACAGACCTGTTGGGGAAGTGACGTTTTACTGCCATAATTTGCACAGAGGCCAGGAAGAACGGTTTCAAGGAGTCAACCTGTCAAGGCAACCATGGGCCCGTGGGCATGGGACAAGTCCAGTCCTTGGAGCCAAATGAGACCTAGGGGAGACATGGAAGAAGTCACCTCAGCTCCCTCATTGGAGGAGTGATGCTCCTCTGCAGCTTGGAATAAGGGGAAAGTGGGAAGCCCGTGGCCCACGGAAGGGTGCTTAATCAATGGTAGCAAGGAAGATAATCATTGGCCATATCATTGTACAGATGGGGAAACTGAGGCTCAAGGAAGAGAGATGACTTTTTCAAGATCACACAGGCAGGAGTGGGGCCAGAGCCTGCACCCCCAGCATTTAACCGCGTGTTGGTTGAATGGATGGTCAAGGGGAAGGCTATGGCCTGGGGACCCGCTGAACTCTTGAGGGGCCTGGCCTGAGTGAAGGCCACAGTGGGTGGGGCTGGGGACTCACTTTCTGGGGCAGAACCTCCGAGCCTGGGGAATACAGAGAGGTGATCTGGGGGGATTCCTTGTCATTAGAAAGAGGCTAAATGCCAGATGGAGGTCTCGAATCTTTCAATGCTTTTGAGGCAGAGTGAAGAACAGTAAATGGTAAAAGAAGACAGAATTTGTCTTTTCCGTTAGGCAGAAAATCTGGCCAACAGTGTCTGTCAGTCACTCACTCTGTCCCAGCAGCTGCGTAGGGCACATAGTGTCCACAGCCAGGTGACAGGCACCCAGCCCAGAGGGGCTGGGAGTAGCAGAGCCCAGCTCACCTCATCCCCAGGCCAGCATCCCTCTGACCCTGCACGCTGATCCCTTCCCATGAAGGAGAGGACTGGCATGGCCCTGGCTGCCCACACTCAGAGTCCAGGAGGCGCTGGCCATGCCAAGTAGAGAAGATTGAGAATATGCACAGAGCTTGAGGCATGCAGGAGTCCATGAGCTCTGAGGAAAGGCATTGCGAGTGGGCAGGGATCCCAGCAGAGGGCCCGACGTGGGCAAGCAGCTAAGGGGTGGATTGGGGGCACTGTATGTAAGAGTGTCCCAGGTAGGGGGAGCAGCATGTCGGAGGTGCCAGGAGGGCAGCACACCTGTGTGCATGTGAGTGTCACTGTGTGAAGGGCAGGCCTACAGGTAGAGAGGGCGAGAGCTCAAGGAAGGAGGAGAGGAGACGGGGGAGAGGTGGGCAGAGCAGGCTTCCCCCAGTGCTTGTATTGGCTATGCAGAAGTCCCCCTCAGCAAACAGGCTTCATGCCAACCCTGAGCCCCTAGGTAGCGAGGGGGCAGTTGTGCTGGACTGGAAGGGCCTGGAGGGAAAAGAGGGTCATGATGGGGCAGTGCAGCAGAGAAGAGGAGACCCTCGTGGGCCAAGCACCAGCCCTGTGCGCTTGTGGCTGTTCACTGTGCCACAGCATGCCCAGTGACAGTGAGGAAGGCATTGACAGTGTGGAGGCGATGGGGCTGGGACAGGCCCAGGCTCCCCCAGCCAGGCAGTCAAGGTTCTTTGCCACTGGTAGCCCCAAGGAGCCTGGAGAACATAGCGTGCTCTCCAGGGAGCTGGTTCATTTGGCGTTCACGGGTTGGCGTGCAGGGCTGCTGTGGGCTCACTTGGCACCTCGCGTGGATTAGAAAAGGATGCCTCTTCCTCAAGACCCTTTACCCCTACTTATTTTTTGTTTAGTTATTTTTTTGAGACGGAGTCTTGCTCTGGAGTCTTCCAGGCTGCAGTGCCGTGGTGCAATCTCGGCTCACTGCAACCTCTGCCTCCCGGGTTCAAGCTGTTCTCCTGCATCAGCCTCCCGAGTAGCTGGGATTACAGATGCCTGCCACCACGCCTGGCTAATTTTTGTATTTTTAGTAGAGATGGGGTTTCCCCATGTTGGCCAGACTGGTCTTGAACTCCTGAACTCAAATGGTCTGCCTGCCAAAGTGCTGGGATTACAGGCGTGAACCAAATCCTCCCAAAGTGCTGGGATTGCAGGCGTGAGCCACCACGCCGGGCCCTTACCTCTACTTATTTGTAAACTGTTGTAATAGTTTAAAATTGTTCTGATTTGTCAGAACGAGACTCTTCCATTTGCTGGATTTGCATTGTAATAAAAATAAATCTATAGTGTCTGTTGTGAATGGCACTTCCTAGGGCTGTGCAATGTACAACCTGCTCAACCATATGCAACAGCCCTGTTAATAAAAACAATTATTAGTAATAATATTTGACTGGTCCTGAAGGTAGCACAATGACCTCTGTTGCCTCTGGGCAAAGAGAGGGCTGCTTAGGTGCCAGGCTAAGACAGGTGACCCGACGGGGGCCAAAGTGGGAGCAGGGCTTGGGAGACTTCAGTGAAAAGATCTCAAGGTGGCTAGTGAAATGGAGAGAGGGGCCTGAGTCTGGATGCATGGGGTTGAGCTGGAGCTGGGACTGAGGGGTTTGCTGGATGTACATCTTCTTCTGACCTCATCAGGGAGTGTCCTGTAGGGCCCGGCCCTGCCCACTGCAGATTCATTCTCCTGGCATCTGGTTTTCCTATAAAGTGCCAGTCAGCTCAAACCAGCAGCAGCATCTGATCAAATAGATGAGCAATATGAATAAAAATGAAGTTATGGGCTTTGGGCTGCCAAAGATAAATTTCCTTTTATGTCCTGTTTCCCTGTGACGTGTGTGTTGAGTAATGATTCCTGACGCATATCTTCAGAAATAGTAGTTGCTCACACTGGGTGGTGTGTCAAGGCGGAAGGAGGCCACAGACTTGGGGAATGGAACCCCACCTGGACAGCGCCCTGGGGCTGCCTGCCGCATCCTGACCTGGCATGGCCATCAGCCTTTCGGCCATAGGTGGGGCTGGTTAGAGGACAAGTGTCTTTCCTGGTCAGGCCCACTGGGTGCATCCCTCCACCGCGGATATTTTTACATTAGAAGCAGCATAGTTTGTACGGGACAGGGCCCCTGGAATGTGACTCTTAGTTCATTAACCATTTGGTAACTGCTCATCTGCCTGGCAAAATCCCTTCCCCAAATCCCACTCCTCACCTGTCCCCCAGCACACATGCTTTGTTTTTGGCCAGACTTTCTGAGATTCAGCAGGACCAATCTTCTGTGCCCTAGGCATTCATTATTTTTAAGGGTTATTTACTGTTTAGACAACAATTCCAGATGTTCAAG